>NC_000010.11:56506731-56658246 GCF_000001405.40 Homo sapiens | reverse complement strand
AAGCTAGAACAGAATGTTTCTTTCTCATGTATTACTCACTTATGTGAGATAACAAACCTACATATTTGGGTATTAATGAGCCCATATTATTTAAAGTTCTAGATCCATAAATTCGGTCTCATATTAAAAAAAATTAATGATCATTTGGATATCCTAAAGTATAAACTCATGAGTGCTTTTTCTTTTGAAAAGAGCCATGATAGCAACAATAATAAATATTATGTGAAACTTTATCTTTTCAGAAGTAAACCAAAGTATTTAACTTGTTTTACAAACATCTGTACAAATATTTCTACAAACACACTTATAATTACAAATATTTCTACAAACACGCTTATAATTACAAATATTCTACAAACACACTTATAAATGTAAGTGATATCTAGTATAAATGGATTTTACCCAAAGCCACATGAAATGGTATTTCAAAGTCATAGTCCAAGAGCGAAGAGTTCAAATATATATGACAATAGTCTGCGAAATGGAGCACTCTGATTGATATTTTTTAAATGAGGGGTTAATTTTACTCAATATCAGGATTTTTTTTATAGAATAAAATTCTGTAAAGTTTTAGCAACATGAAATTGAAGCATCCTAATTTCTGCTGAGTAGGAAACTTTATTGTCATCTTCTGTTTAGTAACATAAAGAGAGAAAGATGATCCAAATTGACAAATGGAATCTAATTAAACTAAAAAGCTTCTGCACAGCAAAAAAAAAAAAAAAGAAAAAACTATAATCAGAGTGAACAGGCAACCTGCAGAATGGGAGAAAATTTTTGCAATCTATCCATCTGACAAAGGGCTAGTGTCCAGAATCTACAAGGAACTTCAACAAATTTACAAAAAAAAAAATCCATCAAAAAGTGGGTGAAGTACATAAACAGACACCTCATAAAAGAAGACATTTATATAGCCAACAAACATATGATAAAAAGCTCATCATACTGGTCATTAGAGAAATGCAAAACAAAATCACAATGAGATACCATCTCACACCATTAATGGCAATCATTAAAAAGTCAGGAAACAACAGATGCTGTAGAGGATGTGGAAAAATAGGAATGCTTTCACACTGTTGGTGAGAGTGTAAATTAGTTCAACCATTGTGGAAGACAATGTGGCAATTCCTCAAGAATCTAGAACCAGAAATACCGTTTCACCCAGCAATCCCATTACTGGGTATATACTCAAAGGATTATAAATCATGCTACTATAAAGACACATGCAAATGTATGTTTATTGCAGCACTATTTACAATAGCAAAGACTTGGAGCCAATCCAAATGCCCATCAATGATAGACTGGATAAAGAAAATGTGGCACATATACACCATGGAATACTATGCAGCCATAAAAAGGATGAGTTCATGTCTTTTGCAGGGACATGGATGAAGCTGGAAACCATCATCCTCGGCAAACTAACAGAGGAACAGAAAACCAAACACTGCATTTTCTCACTCATAAGTGGGAGCTGAACAATGAGAACACATGGACACAGGGAGGAGAACATCACATACTAGGGCCTGTTGTTGTGGGGGGGAAGGGGAGGGAAAGCATTAGGACAAATGCCTAATGCATATGGGGCTTAAAACCTGGATGACGAGTTGATAGGTGCAGCAAACCACCATGGCACATGTATACCTATGTAACAAACCTAAACGTTCTCCACATGTATCCTAGAACTTAGTTTTTTTTTTTTTTAAAAAAAGAAGAAAGAAAAATGATTAATTACCTTTGTAAAATTTGTGGTTCAGCAATTTTTGCAATCTAGAGCTGCCACATACAGTCATTCAGCTTGGCTACTGTCCAACTCTAGCATGTATCATGCACACAGATTAAAATGTAAAATGCATACTCTTACAGTCATTCAATGGTGCTTCTAACTACAAAATACATATTAATTGTAAATTTTCTTACTAAAAAACTGCAGCCTGATACTCTCATCTCTGGTGAATTACCATGGGATCTTAAATTCTGAAAAAAAAAAAAAAAAAAAAAAAGCATCAACAACTAGGCAATACGCAAATAGAACTGAAAACACGCTGAAGAAGGAAGGTGATGCCAGTAATGTAATTCAAACTGATTAAAATTCCTTCAAGGTTGTAATTTCTGTGCTTGTATTTGCAGCATTTATACCACCAATTCAGTCAATTAATAATAACTGGACCCATCAAGAGCGGTCTTCAGTGAGTTTCTATTTGGAATTATAAACAAATAAACAAAGACAGTATAGTCATATTCATATTTTCTCCTCCATTCTCCTTTCTGCCAGTCTGCTGCCAACAACTCTAGTGAGCCTTTCTGCATGGCCTAGTTTTCTACTGAATGGAGAGTTTACTCTGTTTCAAAATTAAAACTTTTTTAAAATAAATGTAGTATAAAGATCTTTCTAAAATGTATTAGAAACTTATCTCAACTTATTTGACAAATACATAATCTCAGTTTATTTATTTATAAAAGATTTAGACTATCTAGATTCCAAGCTCTATTTTTAAGTGTTTCTAAATGGCCAGGGTTGTGTCTTTCAACATAAATGATGACTTTATTCTATGACATACTGAGGTCAACAACTCAGGATCTGCTTGAGTTTCTTGTTTGCTTGATTGCTTCATTTTTTCTTTCTTTCTTTCTTTCTTTCTTTCTTTCTTTCTTTCTTTCTTTCTTTCTTTCTTTCTTTCTGTCTGTCTTTCTTCTTTCTTTCTCTCTCTTTGTTTCTTTCATATTGTCTTTATTTGTGGTTAAGTGATATTCTTTATTAGTATGTTTGATCCCTGACTTTTTAGTTTAATGTATCTATTTTAGGGTCTTTCTTTGTGGTTACCATGAGGCTGAAAAAAATTATCCTATAGTTACAGCACGTGTTGATAACTTTAATTGTAAAAACAAACAAACAAATAAACCTTCATACACTTTAATGCCACTCCTCACAACATTTTGAATTTTAATCATCACAATTTACATGTTCTTATATTGCATATTCCTTAAAAATCATTGTAATTATTATTATTATTTTAATGGAATTATCTTTTAACCTTCTTGATAGACATATGTGATTTACACTCCACCATTACAGTATTAGAGTACTATGAATCTGACTGTGTACTTACTTTTTCAATGAGTGTTATACTTTTAGATTTTTTTATGTTACTCATTAGTATCTTTTTCTCAGCTTGAAACACTTTCTTTAGCATTTTTTTTTTTTTTTGTAGAACAGGTATCACCATACCTGTTCTACAACTTCATATTTTGTATGCTTAGGAAAATCTTTCTCTCTCTCACACACATCTTATGGATGGTTTTTTAGGTACAGTATTTTTGGTTGACAGTCTTTTTCCTTCAGCACTTTAAATATATTATTCAACTATCTCCTGCCCTGGAAGGTTTCTTCTTAGAAGTTATTTGCTTAGCTTTGGAACTCCTTTATATGTTATTTGCTGTTTTGTTTTTGTTATTGTTGTTACATTTAGGACCTTCTTTTTTCCTTTAATCTTTGATAGTGTTAATGTCTTGAGTTAATCTTATTAGAATTGAATATGATTGGAGATTTTGACCTTCCTGCACATGGATATTTATATCTTTCTCTAGGCTTGGAAAGTTTTATTCTATTATTTCATTAAATAAACTTCTTATCATTTTATCTTCATCTATTCTGTTTTGAAGGTCAATGACTGGTAATTTGCCCTTTTGATGCTGTCTTATCAATCACATAAGCTTTCTTTATGACTTTTCATTATGTTTTTCCTCTAACTTTATATTTTCAAATAACCTGTCTTTGAGTTCACAGATCCTTTATTATCTTTGATCAGTTATGCTGTTGATGCTCTCTATGGTGTTTTTTTCTTTGTTCATTGTGTTTTTATTTCCAGAATTTCTATTTGATTTTTAAAATTGTTTAAATCTTTCTGTTAAATTTATCTGATACATTTTAAAATTGTTTTTCTGAATTTTTTGGAAGTTCACTGAGATTTAACACACCTATTTTGAATTTTTGTCAGGCAGTTTAGACATCTCCATCTTTTTAAGGTTAGTCACTAGCACTTTATTTTGTCCATTTGGTGAAATGTTTTCCTGATTTTTCTTGATCCTTATGGTCATGTGTCAATGTGTATACATTGAAAAATTAGGTACTTGCTTTAACCTTTGTAGTTTGACTTTGTCTGGGACTGTTCTTCAACAGTAAATCTGTCCAGAAATTCTGTGCAAACTAACTGGTATGGTCTCTAAATCCATGGCCACTGAAGCTCTTGTAGCACTAGAAAGCACCCTAAGCCTAGAATTGCTTCAACTTGTGTAGCCTGCGCTAGAGTCATGTGGCCACAAAGGTTGGTGCAGCCTTGGACTGAAATTCAATGGCCACTTGGAGCTTATGCAGTTCTGGAACACACCCAAAGCCCCTGGATTTTAAAGTTAGCTTGCTGTTGACGTTTATTCAGAATTTAAGGCCATTGCAGTCAGGCATTGGTGATGTGGGCCAAAAAGCAATCTTTCTTACACAGGTTATTGGCACCCATTTGGTACTGGGGTGGGTCTAATGACTCAGTCCTTAGGTACTATCCTGGATGTAGAGACCGTGGAGGCTTCCCAGTGCTGAATTTTCCTGTGGCAAGCCCAGTGTTGGGGCCCAAGGCAAGTTCCTACACATACTTTCCTCTTTTTTTTCCCACACAGAAAGTATCTCTTTTCATGCTGTGCTGGCCAGAGGTGAGAGAGGGATAACATGACTAATGTGAAACTATCCTTTTTACTCCATTTCATGTGTCTATTTATATTTTTAGGCTATAACCAGGTGCTGTGACCTAGAGTAGAAAGAAGGAAGTTCCCCTCCTCTTCAAAAAGCTCCCAGCATATTGCTTTTATGCTCTCATATATGAAAAGCCAATTTAAAAAAATCAGAAACAAGGCTACTCACTTTCTCCCATCAAGACACTTTCTACCTTCTTTTTCTTTCTGCATTTCTATCATGTTCAAATCTTCTGTACCTGACAAATAAAGTTTTTCTTTATTCTAGACCTTTTCTTATTTACTTCCAACATAAGAATTGACAAGTTTTATTCTTTACTATTGTAGGTGTGTTCAAGATGACTCATTATGACAAAGGTATTCTTGCTGATGTGAGGTTATTGGAATGGATGTGTTCAGGATTGGTGATGTTACTTACATTGACCCCATATACATTTATAACTTAGAAGGCATCTTCAGTGTTTTATCTCAAATAATAAACTAAGGAAATGGTGCTCAAACTTTAGTATGCATCAGAATGATCTGAAGAATATACTGATTTCTGGGCTGTAACCCTAGAAGTTCTGATTCAGTTAGTCTGGGGTGGACCCCAGGTTTTTGCATCTTCCCAGTGATGCTGATGGTGCTGGTTGTCAACCACAGGGAGCATCACTGATAAGGATTATCACATTCTCAGTTTGATGACATAAGTATAAATATATGTGGGCAGCATTTTTATACTTTTTAAGTAATGGCTGTTGACTTCAACTTGCATCATCACAGTTTAGAGGAGAGAAAAATTAATACATGTTACAGACTATTTTCCTGTTGAGAGCACAGGTTACTGAAAAACCAGAATTCACTCAGTAATCACCTTAAGCTGAAACTCTAAGGTTAGAATGTGTTTTAATGGCTTAAAATATATAGCACCTCCATAAAATTTCAGATTATTTTCTTGGGAAGCTTTTGGAAATTTTGAAGCACACAGACATTTAACAATTGCAGAAAAATCTAATGTTTCAATAGAAGCCCATTTTAGAAATGCTTGACAATGTATAAGCATATATGTTTTAAATGTGTTTGTCCCAGAGTCCACCAGCTTCTTGACATAGATTTGAGTCATAAAGATGTATTATTTCTGTGATAATGTGTTCCACATTTAAGTACACTAGTCTTAATTATAATTAGTAGATTTTACTGTTTTCTAACAACAAAGAAGCTAAAGAACATCTAGGTATCAAAATACCCTCCCAATCATGGGAGCAGAGCTGCAGCCATTTGGTAATTACATGGCTACCTTAAGGAAAATAAAGTGCTTGGATACAACCCATCTTAAAATGCAGAGTGTGCCTCTTGGTAGCAGGACACATTGAACAACACTTCGGAGAACAGAGTTTTACGTTAATTGGATGTGGAGGCCTGCAAGATAAAGCAAATATAAATCATACTCTAATTGATACACAGTTTGGAAAATGTTACCAAAAAACTTTTGGTATCCATTTTGAGGTAAATACTAAAACAGCCTCACATTTAAGGTCCTAGAAGTAATGGACCACAACAACCTTTACCCTTGCTGTGTCTAGGTTTTGGGCCTGGCTTGTCCTGGTTTCCAGGATGGACTTTGCTTCTTACTCAGTGTATAATTTGAAGCAAGCTACTCAACTTTCCAATGCTTTAGTTCTCTCATCTAAAAAATAGGATAAAATACTATCTCATAGCATGTAATGATTGCTAGCTAATATATGTAAATCTCTTACTATTATTCCTACTTCCACATTTCTGCTAGGTTATCCAGGAGAATAAAAGTGGGAAAGGGATATTAAAACGTAATCTAGTGTATGATTTGCCTCTTACTTAGTGTACGATTTGAAACAAGTTACTCAACTTTCCAATGCTTAAATTCTCTCATCTAAAAATTAGGATAAAATACTATCATATAGGCTGTAATGATGATTGCTAGCTAATATATGTAAATCTCCTATGATTATTCCTGACTATTTCCACATTTCTGTCAGGTTATCCAGAGAATAAAAGTGGGAAAAGGGTATTAAAATGTGATCTAGCTGAGAAAGCAAAATATTTATCTCAAAACAGCAAATATATGCTGTTGTATAATAAGAGTTTGTCTGATCTTTGTCCAGAGTTTCTGTAGGAAGCTTCTAAAATCCTTGGAATTTCTCCAGTGGTAGGAGTTTGTTTGTTTTTTTGTTTGTTGGTTGTTTTGTTGTTTTGGTTTTTGTTGTTATATGAATGAAGTGACTCAATGTGTCCTATAGATAGCTCTGGGATTGGAGCTGGTCACGAGAAAGACCAACCAGGTAATTAGAGGATTGGGACTAGAGCCAGCTCAATGTTCAGGGAATGAAGGGGCAAGAGTTTGAGCTAAACGATACAGCCAATGATTGAATCAATCAGTAATTTCTACATAATAAAACCCCAGTAAAACACTAGATACTAACATTTAGTGCAGTGTCCCAGTTAGTGAACATATTGTTTTGCTGTGAGAAAAATAAACCTTCATTCCAGTGAGAGAGGACACAGAAGCTCTGCGTTCCTTTCAATACGTCATCCTATGTGTCTCTTTATTTGGCTGGTCTTCCTGATTTGTATGTTTTATGATAAAACTGCAAAAGTGTAATGCTTTTGTAACTTCTGTAAATCATTCTAATTAATTACTAAATCTGAGGGTGTCATGGGAAACCCTAAATTTATAGTCAGTGGATCAAAAGTGCAGGAGGCCTGGGAACCTCTGAAAGGCAGCAGATGTCTTAAGTAACCTTGAATGTCTATGCTAACTCTGGATGGTTAGTGCCAAAACTGAATTTCAGTACACCAAACTGGGGATGAGAGAAAATAAGAACCTTTCTAAAAAATGTTTATTTTGCAAGTGTATTAGTGTAGCTTTGGTTTAGACATTGAGTCACATTTGCAATACTATTATTCTGATGTCCAAGGGCTCCATAGCCCTTACCTGCTGCTTTAGGTTGACTCAGGACACCTGTGTTTGACTTTTGCAGGATATATTATCACAACTTACATCCCAGGATTGTTACCAAGAAAACATACTTTTCCCAGAAGTAAAATAAAAGCTGACAGGAAAGTGCTATACCTAATTTAACTCAGTCTCAACTTTTACTCCTCTTGAAACTTGCCAATTTACCCTGTTGTCAGCCCATTATTGCTCCACTTCTTCAATTCCTGATCTTTTTCTAATTATTCCTTGCAACTTGAGCTCTGTCTAGGTTTATTTGCTAAATTCACTTCCGCAAAATTCAATTCACTGACTGGACAACATCTCTGAAACACTAGCTGTCTTTCAGAATAAATTCTTTCTGTTTTAAAGAATTGTTTCTCTTCAGTTAGCATTTTCTTTGTGAAAGACATATGTAGTTGTTTCTGTAGTCATTATAAAGTTTACAGCAATTTGAATTATGTTTTTTGTTTTGTTGGTTTTTTTTTTTTTTTTTTTTTTTTCTGAGACAGAGTTTTGCTCTCTAGCCCAGGCTGGAGTGCAGTGGCTCGATCTCCGCTCACTGCAAGCTCCGCCTCCCAGGTTCACACCATTCTCCTGCCTCAGCCTCTGGAGTAGCTGGGACTACAGGCTTCTGCCACCAAGCCCAGCTAATTTAATTTTTTGGATTTTTTTTTTTTTTTTTAGTAGAGACAGGGTTTCACTGTGTTAGCCAGGATGGTCTCGATCTCCTGACCTCGTGATCCACCTGCCTCGGACTCCCAAAGTGCTGGGATTACAGGCGTGAGCCACCGCGCCCGGGCTGAATTATGTGTTTAACAGCTTTTGAGATTTCCATAACGTTTTAGTTGTTAACTTTCATTTTAGCCCATAAATAGTTTTTAAAGATTTTTTTTTTCAATTTGTTTTTCAATCATTTCCCTGAGCTAAATCCAGCAGAAGCTGGTGAAGAAAGAGGGAAAACTCACGTGGAGGAATGACTATGAGGAGAGTACATTCAGAAAATTGTTCCTTTGATAACTTAGCCATTGGGATAGTTGGCTTTTGGCAAATTAGCTTTAAAAAATTGTCTTGTTTTCAGTGACTTTAGGCACTAAGGCAAAAAGTTTCCTACAAAATTTCACAGGAGCAAAAGTTCATTTCCCTTGACTACATGTCTAGAATACTATAAAGTAAATAAGGATTTAGAGAAAGGAACTGGACACAACAGAAGTAACTGTATATTTTACATTCTTATTCATAACAGTTAAATATGCATTGACATATAAAATTTAGTTATTTTAAATAAAGTGGCACAGAAATTAAGGAGATGATATAGTGGAAAATTTGGACATAAATAAAATTTATTTGTGCAGAAGAATAATAAACATTCTCTTACAGCAATACCACAAACCCAGTAAGAACAGGGATGGTTTTAGGGCTTGTTAAAAGCAGACTCATTTCTATTTTAAAGAATTGTTTCTCTTCAGCTAGCAAGAGAAAATTTTGATATAAAAATGACAGTGCTAAGTTATCCAGCAGCACTGAGACTTTCAGAAAAATGCAGCTGCTGGTCAGAGCAAGAGCAATTTAAAAATCAGAATTTAATCAGAATTTGGACTATAATGACCACAACAGGTAAGAGTCTTATTCTAGAAAGGGTGTACTAGCTGTTATAATGTGAGAGTATTCAAATTTGAAGGACTTGAAAAACTGTCCCATTGTCTTCTTTCCTAGAAGTCTGTCACCAACAGTCAAGTTAACTCCTGGTGTGTCTTAATATGCCTTTTCTAACTTGCATATTTACCACATTGTCAAATACTTATTTAAAAGTTAAACCAAAAATAAATTTGTTTAGAGGGTATATATGTGTTGCTGATATATGAAGAGAAAATTATACTTTAAAAGATTGTCAGCTTTTGTTTATTAAATTTGTTTTTAAAACAGGATGTTGTTAAAATATGAATAAAGTCACTTGTTTTTTAATAAATATTTGAGTAATTGTTCAGGGTTATATGTTGTCTCCACATGAGATCGAAACTTAAGAAATAAATGGGAGATTCAGTAGTTAGTCTGTAATAGGAAAACTTCCTTTTTAGGGATTTTAAAGACTTCTCTATCGTGTGAAATGAACAGAGGATTTTTAAAAAATTCAAGAACACGTTTTTCATGTTGCCTGACCTAAAGTTTATATATAGTCTCCTATAATCTTAAGGAAGTCAAGAGTGGTTATTGCAGAATGTAATTGGAAGTGAAGGAAAAAAGGGTGATGATGCAGGTCAGGGAGTTTCAACTCAGAGTGAAATTTGAGGTAAGACTTTAAAAAATTAATGACATTAGAGAAGTGGAGGGCAATTCTGAAGAATCTTTTCTTTCCTTACTTCTCTTTATTCCAAAGGAAAGGCAAGTCTATGGCCAGAAATGTGCTTATTTTCTCCTCCTAAACACAATTAGATGTTTTCAATAGTATCGTAACTTGACTATGCATATATATACACGTATATATATACACATATATGTATATATATACGTATATACGTATATATATACATATATATGTGTATATATATACACATATATACGTATATATATACACATATATATGTATATATATACACATATATATGTATATATATATTCTATATTTCTTCATTCCACCTTGAGGCAGCTTACATATTTAACTATGCTTACAACATATATATCATCCTTCATCAGTTTTGAGTCTGACAATAAAAATATAAGATAACCTGTTCTTATTTAATACTATTTAAATCAGAGATCATATGGGGTAGGCTCTCCTAAATACATAGTCATACTTTTCTAAGTTCTTATTGGAGTTTTTCTATTTTTTTTAATGACCACAAACAGTTTTCTTATTTTTTCACGTTGGTTACTCTATTTCACAGACTTACATTTATTCAGTACCCACAATTGTGAAATTTATTGGCATATTTATGTTCTGCTTGCTTTGCCTATCTGCTTCAGAGTGACTCCTGACTAGTAATGTATATTGTCACAATAGCCATAAAGATGTATAAGTCAAACTGATTTACTTTCAAATATCCATTCCTGTTAAATGTTTACAATAAACCAGATTTCTGCAGATATTTGACTACTGAAGAAAAAATGATAAGAAGTAAAAGAGTCATCATCTTAGTCAACTGGGGCTGATAAAACAAAATGCTCCTTGTAGGGCCCGAGATGGCCAAATAGAAACAGCTCCGGTCTGCACCTCCCAGCGAGATCCACATAGAAGGTGAGTGATTTCTGCATTTCCAACTGAGATACCCAGTTCATTTCACTGGGACTGGCTAGGCAGTGGGCACAACCCAAGAAAGCAAGCAGGAGCAGTGTTTGGCGTCGCTTCACCTGGGAAGTGTACAGAGGGAGAGACCTTTCTCCCGCAGCCAATAGAAGTGGTGAGGAACTCTGCTACCCGCCAGGGTTATTTGTTTTTTCCCACGGACTTTTGTAATCTGCGGATCAGGAGAATCCCTCATGAGCCTACACCGCCAAGGTCCCGGGTTTCAAACACAAACCTGGGCACCTGTTTAGACAGGCACTGAGCTGCAGGAGTTTTTACATACTGCAGCAACACCTGTAACTCCAGTGAGACAGGAGAACCATCCAGTCCCGTGAAGAGGGGGCTGAAGCCAGGGTCTCACTCAGCGGGTCCCACTCCCACGGAGCCCAGCAAGCTAAGAACCACCGGCTTGAAATTCCCACTACCAGCACATACATCTGTAGTCTGACTGGGACAACTGAGTTCAGGGTCGGGGGAGAGGAGGGACTGCCATTACTGTGGCTCTAGTAGTCAGTTTTCCCCTGACAGTGCTAAGGAGATTGGCAAGGTTGGACTGGGAGGAATTCGCCACAGCGCAGCAAAGTGGCAGTGGCCAGACTGCTTCTCTAGATCCCTCCTCACCAGGCAGGGCATCTCTACAGAAAATACAGCAGCTCCAGTAAGGGGCTTACACACAGAACTCTCATCTCCCTGGGTCAGAGCATCTGGGGGGAGGGGCAGCTACAGTCTCAGTTTCTAAAGACTTAATCTTTCCTGCCTGATGGCTGTAAAGAGAGGGGCGGATCCTGACAAGGGGCATTCTTCCAGCACAGTGCACCAACTCTGCTAAGGCAGAGACTGCCTTCTCAAGCGGGTCCCTGACCCCATGCCTTCTGAGTGGGAGAGACCTTCCAACAGCGGTTGACAGACACCTCATACAGGAGAGCTCTGGCTGGCATCAGGCTGGTGCCTCTCTGGGACAAAGCTTCCAGAGGAAGGAGCAGGCAGAAATCTTTGCTGTTCTGCAGCCTCTACAGGTGATACCCAGGCAACCAGGGTCTGGAGTGAACCCCAGCAAACTGCAACAGATCTGCAGAAGATGGGCCAGACTGTTAGAAGAAAAACTAACAAACTAAAAGCAACAACGGCAACATCAACATAAAAGACAGCCACCCCCACCCCCGACAAAAGCCCCATCCAAAGGTCATCAGCCTCAAAGATCAAAGGTAGATAAATCCACAAAGATTACGATAAACTAATGCAAAAACGCTTAAAATTCCAAAAGCCAGTATGCCTCTTCTCCAAATGACCACAACACTTCTCCAGCAAGGGCACAGAACAGGGCTGCAGCTGAGATGGATGAACTGACAAGAGTAGGCTTCAGAAAGTGGGTAATAGGTCAGGCGCTGTGGCTCTCACCTGTAATCCCAGCACTTTGGGAGGCCGATGCAGGCTATCACCTGAGGTCAGGAGTTTGAGACCAGCCTGGCCAACATGGTGAAACCCCGTCTCTATTAAAAATATGAAAATTAGCTGGGCATGTTGGCGCAGCTACTGGGAAGACTAAGGCAGGAGAATCGCTTGAACCTGGAGATGGAGGTTGTAGTGAGCCAAGATGGCGCCACTGCACTCCAGCATGGGCGACAGAGCGAGACTCCATCTCAAAAAAAAAAAAAGTGGATAATAACGAATTTCGCCAAGCTAATGGATTATATTCTAACCCACTGCAAAGAAGCTAAGAACCATGATAAAAGATTACAGGATTTGTTAACTAGAATAACCAGTTTAGAGTGAAACATAAATGACCTGATGAAGCTGAAAAACACAGGATGAGAACTTCATGATGCAAACACAAGTATCAATAGCCAAATCAACCAAGCAGGAGAGAGACTATTAGAGCTTGAGGACTATCTTGCTGAAATAAGGCAAGCAGAAAAGATTAGAGAAAAAAAGAATGAAAAGGAATAAACAAAACCTCTGGGGTTTTTAACTGTGGGACTCTGTAAGACCAAACCTATGACTAATTGGAGTACCTGAAAGAGATGGGGAGAATAGAAGCAAGTTGGAAAACACACTGCAAGATATAATCCAGGAGAACTTCCCCAATTTAGCAAGACAGGCCTATATTCAAATTCAGGAAATCCAGAGACTCCCAATAAGATACTCCATGAAAAGATCTATTCCAAGACACATAATAATCAGATTCTCCAAAGCTGAAAGAAAGAAAGAAATATTAAGGGCAGCCAGAGAGAAAGACCAGGTCACGTACAAAGGGAAACCCATCAGACTAACAGCTGACCTCTCTGCATAAACCCTACAAGCCAGAAGAGATTGGGAGCCAATAGTCAACATTCTTTAAAAAAAAAAGTAAATTCCTTTAAAGAGAAGGAACTTAGTTCAAAATAATGAGAACCAGAATATCATATCCAGCCAAATGAAGCTTCATAAGTGAAGGAGAAATAAAATCTTTCTCAGACAAGCAAATGGTGAGGGATTTTGTCACCACCAGGCCTGCCTTGTAAAAACTCCTGAAGGAAGTACTAAACAAGGATAGGAAAAACCATTACCAGCCACTACAAAAACACACTGAAGTACACAGCCTAATGACACTATGAAGCAGTTGCTACATTAACAAGACTGCAAATTTAACCAGCTAGCATCATGATGACAGGATCAAATCCACACATAACAATATTAACCTTAAATGTAAATGAGCTAAAAACCCCAATTAAAAGACACAGAATGGCAAGCTTGATACAAAGACAAGACCCATCGGTGTGCTGTATTCAGGAGACAGATCTTACATGTAAAGATGCACATAGACTCGAAATAAAAGGATGGAGGAAAATAAACCAAGCAAATGGAAAGGAGAAAAAAGCAGGGTTTGCAATCCTAGTTTCTGACAAAATAGACTTTAAACCAACAAAGTTCAAAAAAGACAAAGAAGGGCTTTATATAATGTTAAAGGGCTCAGTTCAACAAGAAAAATTAACTGTCCTAATATATAGTCACCTAATATATATTACGATTCATAAAACAAGTTCTGATTTTATGATTCACCGTGATTCATAAAACAAGTTCTTAGAGACCTATAAAGAAACTTAGACCCCCACACAACAATAGTGGGAGACTTTAATAACCCACTGTCAGTATTAGACAGATTATCAAGACAGAAAATTAACAACGATATTTAGGACTTGAACACAGTTCCAGTCCAAGTGGACCTGATAGATACCTACATAATTCGCCATCCCAAAAGAAAAGAATATACATCTTTTTTCGGTGTCACATGGCACTTACTCTAAAATTAACCACATAATTGGAAGTAAAGCCCTCCTCAGCAAATGCAAAAGAACTGAAACCAAAACTAACAGTCTCTCAGACTACAGCGCAATCAAATTAGAGCTCAATATCAAAAAGCCCACTCAAGCCTTGCATCCTAGGGATGAAGTCGACTTCATGGTGGTGGATAAGCTTTTTGATGTGCTGCTGGATTCAGTTTGTCAGTATTTAATTGAGGATTTTCACATCAATGTTCATCAGGGATATTGGGCTGAAATTTTCTTTTTGTGTGTGTGTCTCTGCCAGGTTTTGGTATCAAGATGATGCTGACCTCATAAAATGAGTTAGGGAGGAGTCCCTCTTTTTCTATTGTTTGGAATAGTTTCAGAAGGAATGGTACCAGCTCCTCTTTCTACCTCTGGTAGAATTTGACTGTAAATCCATCTGGTCCTGGGCTTTTTTTGGTTGGTAGGCTATTAATTACTGCCTCAATTACAGAACTTGTTATTGGTCTATTCAGGGATTCGACTTCTTCCTGGTTTAGTCTTGGGAGAGTGTATGTGTCTAGGAATTTATCCATTTCTTCTAGATTTCCTAGTTTATTTGCGTAGAGGTGTTTATAGCATTCTCTGATGGTAGTTTGTATTTCTGCGGGATCAGTGGTGATCTCCCATTTATCATTTTTTATTGTGTCTATTTGATTCCTCTCTCTTTTCTTCTTTATTAGTCTGGTTAGTGGTCTATCTATCTTGTTAATCTTTTCAAAAAAACCAGCTCCTGGATTTATTGATTTTATGAAGAATTTTTCATCTCTCTATATCCTTCAGTTCTGATCTGATCGTAGTTGTTTCTTATCTTCTGCTAGCTTTTGAATTTGTTTGCTCTTGCTTCTCTAGTTCTTTTAATTGTGATGTTAGGGTGTTGATTTCTTATCTTCTGCTAGCTTTTGAATTTGTTTGCTCTTGCTTCTCTGGTTCTTTTAATTGTGATGTTAGGGTGTTAGGGCATTTAGGAGAAATGCCGATTTCTCCTGTGGGCATTTAGTGCTATAAATTTCCCTCTAAACACTGTTTTAGTTGTGTCCCAGAGATTCTGGTACATTGTGTCTTTGTTCTCATTGGTTTCAAAGAACATCTTTATTTCTCTCTTAATTTTGCTATCTACCCAGTAGTCATTCAGTAGCAGGTTGTTCAGTTTCCATGTAATTGTGCAGTTTTGAGTAAGTTTTTTAATTCTGAGTTCTAATTTGATTGCACTGTGGTCTGAAAGACTGTTTGTTATGAGTTCCACTCTTTTGCATTTCCTGAGGAGTGTTTTACTTCCAATTATGTGGTCAATTTTAGAATAAGTGTGATGTGGTGCTCAGAAAAAATGTATATTCTGTTGAATTGGGGTGGTGAGTTCTGCAGATGTCTATTAGGTCTGCTTGGTCCAGAGCTGAGTTCAAGTCCTGAATATACTTGTTAATTTTCTGTCTTGTGTATTGGTCTAATATTGACAGTGGGGTGTTAAAGTCTCCCACTATTAATGTGTGGGAGTCTAAATCTCTTTGTAGGTTTCTAAAAACTTGCTTTATGAATCTGGGTGATCCTGTATTGCGTGCATATATATTTAGAATAGTGAGTTCTTCTTTTTGCATTGATCCTTTTACCATTATGTAATGCCCTTCTTCGTCTCTTTTGATCTTTGTTGGTTTAAAGTTTACTTTATCAGAGACTGGAATTGCAACCTCTACCTTTTTTTTTTTTTTTTTTGCTTTCCATTTGCTTGGTAAATATTCATCCATCCCTTTATTTTGAGCCTATGTGTGTCTTTGCATGTGAGATGTGTCTCCTGAATACAGTAGACCAATCTATCCCATAAACAGAACAAATGACAAAAACCACATGACTATCTCAATAGATGCAGAAAAGGCCTCGATAAAATTCAGCACCATTTCATGCTGAAAACTCTCAATAAATTAGGTATTGATAGAACATATCTCAAAATAATAAGAGCTATTTATGACAAGCCCACAGCCAATATCATACTGCATGGGCAAAAGCTAGAAGCATTCCCTTTGAAAACTGGCACAAGACAAGGATGGCCTCTCTCACCACTCGTATTCAACATGGTATTGGAAGTCTGGCTAGGGCAATCAGGCAAGAGAAAGAAATAAAGGGTATTCAAATAGGAAGAGAGGAAGTCAAATTGTCTGTGCAGATGACATGATTGTATATTTAGAAAACCCCATCGTCTCAGCCCAAAATCTCCTTAAGCCAATAGGCAACTTCAGCAAAGTCTCAGGATACAAAATCAATGTGCAAAAATCACAAGCATTCCTATACACCAATAATAGACAAACAGAGAGCCAAATCATGAGTGAACTGCCATTCACAATTGCTACAAAGAGAGTAAAATACCTAGGAATACAACTTACAAGAGATGTGAAGGACCTCTTCAAGGAGAACTACAAACCCCTGCTCAAGGAAATAAGAGAGGACACAAACAAATGGGAAGACATCCCATGGCCATGAATAGGAAGAATCAATATCGTGAAAATGGCCATACTGCCCAAAGTATTTTATAGATTCAATGCTATCCCCATCAAGATATCATTGACTTTCTTCACAGAATTGGAAAAAACTACTTTAAATTTCCTTTGGAACCAAAAAAAGAGCCCGTATAGCCAAGACCATCTTAAGCAAAAAGAACAAAGCTGGAGGCATCATGCTACCTGACTTCAAACTATACTACAAGGCTACAGTAACCAAAAAACATGGTATGAGTACCAAAACAGATATATAGACCAACGGAACAGAATAGAGGCATCAGAAGTAACACCACATATCTACAACCATCTGATCTTTGACAAACCTGACAAAAACAAGCAATGGGGAAAGGATTCCCTATTTAGTAAATAGTGTTGGGAAAACTGGCTAGCAATAAGCAGAAAACTGAAACTAGACCCCTTCCTTACACCTTTGACAAAAACTAACTCAAGATAAATTAAAGACTTAAAGGTAAGACCTAAAACAATATAAATCCTAGAAGAAAACCTAGACAATACCATTCAGGACATAGGCATGGGCAAAGACTTAATGACTAAAACACCAAAAACAATGGCAACAAAAGCCAAAATTGCAAATGGGATCTAATTAAACTAAAGATCTTCTGTATAGCAAAAGAAGCCATCATCAGAGTGAACAGGCAACCTGCAGAATGGGAGAAAATTTTTTCCAATCTATCCATCTGACAAAGATCTAATATCCAGAATCTACAAGGAACTTAAACAAATTTACAAGAAAAAAACATACAACCCCATCAAAAAGTGGGTGAAGGATGTAAACAGACACATCTCAAAAGAAGACATTTATGTGGCCAACAAACATGAAAAAAAGCTTATAATCCCTGGTCATTAGAGAAATGCAGATCAAAACCACAATGAGACACCATCTCATGCCAGTTAGAATGGTGATCATTAAAAAGTCAGGAAACAACAGATGCTGGAGAGGATGTGGAGAAATTGGAATGCTTTTACACTGTTGGTGGGAGTGTAAATTAGTTCAACCATTGTGGAAGACAGTGTGGTGATTCCTCAAGGATCTAGAACCAGAAATACCATTTGACCCAGCAATCCCATTACTGGGTATATACCCAAAGGATTATAAATCATTCTACTATAAAGACTCATGCACATGTATGTTTCTTGCGGCACTGTTCACAATAGAAAAGTTTTGGAACAAACCCAATTTCCCATCAATGATAGACTGGATAAAGGAAATGTGGCACATATATACCATGGAATACTATGCAGCCATAAAAAAGGATGAGTTCTTGTCCTTTTCAGGGACATGCATGAAGCTGGAAGCCATCATTCACAGCAAACTAACACATGGACAGAAAAGCAAACACTGCATGTTCTCACTCATAAATGGGAGTTGAACAATGAGAACACATGGACACAGGGAGGGGAACATCACACACCAGGGCCTGTTGGGGGTTTGGGGGCTACGGGAGGGATAGCATTAGGAGAAATATCTAATGTAGATGATGAGTTGATGGGTGCAGTAAACCACCATGGCATATATATACCTATGTAACAAACCTGCATGTTCTGCACATGTATCCCAGAACTTACAGTATAATAATAATAATAATAATAAAGCTCACTCAAAACCACACAGCTACATGGAAATTGAACAATTTGCTCCTGAATGACTGCTGGGTAAATAGTGAAATAAAGGCAGAAATCAAGAAGTTCTTTGAAACCAATAGGAATACAGAGACAATGTGTCAGAATCTCTGGGATGCAGCTAAAGCAGTTTTCAGTGCAAATTTATAGCACTAAAATGCCCATATCAAAAGGCTAGAAAGTTCTGAAATCAACACACTAACATTACAACTAAAAGAACTAGAGAACCAAGAGCAAACAACCCCAGAGCTAGCAGAAGAGAAGAAATAGCCAAGCTCAGAGCCAAACTGAAGGAGAAAGAGACAAAAAACCCTTCAAAAAATCAATGAATCCAGGAACTTTTTTTTTTGAAAAACATAACAAAATAGATAGACAGCTACATAGACTAATGAAGAAAAGAGAGGAGACTGAAATAAAGACAATCAGAAATGATAAGGGGGATACCACCACTGACGCCAGAGAAATACAAATTGCCATCAAATAATACTATAAACACCTCTATGCAAATAAGCCAGAAAATCCGGGAGAAATGGATAAATTTCTGGCCCTCCCAAGCCTGATCCAGGAAGAAGTTGAATCCCTGAATAAACCAATAACACGTGCTGAAATTTAGGTAGTAATAAATAGCCTACCAACCAAAAACAGCCCAGGTCCAGATGGATTTACAGCTGAATTCTACCAGAGGTACAAAGGGGAACTCGTATCATTTCCTCCTAAACTATTCCAAACAATAGCATTAGGAGATATACCTAATGCTAAATGATGAGTTAATGGGTGCAGCACACCAACATGGCACATGTATACATATGTAATAAACCTGCACACGGTGCACATGTACCCTAAAACTTAAAGTATAATAATAATAAAATTTAAAAAAAAGGAAAGGAGAGACTTTTCCCTAACTCATTTTATGAGGCCAGCATCTTCCTGATACCAAAACCTGTTAGAGATACAACAGCAAAAAAATAACTTCAGGCCAATATTCCTGATGAACATTGATGCAAAAATTCTCAGTAAAATACTGGCAAACTGAATCCAGCAGCACATCGAAAAACTTATCCACCATGATCAAGTTGGCGTCATCCCCAGGACGCAAAGCTAGTTCAATGTACATAAATCAATAAATGTAATTCATCACATAAACAGAATTAAAGAAAAAAACAACATGATTATCTCAAAAGACACAGAAAAGGCCTTCAATATAAATTCAACATCCCTTCATGTTAAAAACTGTCAATAAACTACGTATTGAAGGAATGTACCTCAAAATAATAAGAGCCATTTATGACAAATATCATACAGCCAATATCATACTGACTGGGAAAAACCTGGAAGCATTCCCCTTGAAAACTGGCACAAGACAAGGATGCCCTCTCTCACCACTCATATTCAACATAGTGTTGGAAGTTCTGGCCAGGGCAATTAGGCGAAAGAAAGAAATAGTGTATTCAAATAGGAGGAGAGGAAGTCAAATTGTCTTTGTTTGCAGATGACTTAATCTTATATCTAGAAAACCCCATCATTTCACCTCAAAAGCTTTTTAAACTGAGAAGCAACTTTAGCAAAGTCTCAGGATACAAAATCAATGTGCAAAAATCACAAGCATTCCTATACACCAACAACAGACAAGCAGAAACCCAAATCATGAATGAACTCACATTTACAATTGCTGCAAATAGAATAAAATACCTAGGAATACAATTAACAAGAAAAGTGAAGGACCTCTTCAAGGAGAACTACAAACCACTGCTCAAGGAAATCAAAGAGGACGCTAGCAGATGGAAAAACATTCCATGTTCATGAGTAGGAAGAATCAATATTATGAAAATGGCCATACTGCCCAAAGCAATTTAGAGATTCAATACTATTCCCATTAAACTACCATGGATATTCTTCAAAAAATTAAAAAAAAAACTATTTTAAAATTCATATGGAACCAAAAAAGAGTTCACATAACCAAGACAATCCTAAGCAAAAAGAACAAAGCTGGAGTTATCACACTACTTGACTTCAAACTATACTACAAGGCTACAGTAACCAAAACAGCATGGTACTGATACAAAAACAGGCACATAGACCAATGGAACAGAATAGAGAACTCAGAAATAAAACCACACATCTACAACCATCTGATCTTCTAGGAGCCTGACAAAAACAAGCAGTGGTGAAAGGATTCCCTATTTAATAAATGGTGCTGAGGGAACTGGCTAGCCATATGCATAAAATTAAAACTAGATCATTTCTTTACACCTTATACAAAAATCAAGATGGATTAAAGACTTAAATGTAAAACCCAAACTATAAAAACCCTAGAAGAGAATCTAGGCAATATCATACAGGACATAGGCATGGCCAAAGACTTTATGATGAAATCACCAAAAGCAATTGCAACAAAAGCAAAAATTGACAAATGGGATCTAATTAAACTAAACAGCCTTCTGCACAGCAAATGAAACTATCAGAGCAAACAGCCTACAGAATGGGAGAAAATTTTTGCAATCTATCCATCTGACAAAGAGCTCATATCCATAATCTACAAGGAGCTTAAACAAATTTACGTGAATAAAACTAGCAACCGCATTAAAAAGTGGGCAAATGATATGAATAGACACTTCTCAAAAAAAGACATGCATGTGGCCAACAAACGTGAAAAAATAGCTCAACATCACTGATCATTAGATAAATGCAAATCAAAACTACAATGAGATACCATCTCATGCCAGTCAGAATGGCGATTGTTAAAAAGTCAAGAAACAAGAAATGTTGGTGAGGTTGCAGAGAAATAGGAACACTTTTACATTTGTTGGTGGGAATGTAAATTAGTTCAACCATTGTGGAAGATGGTGAAGATTCCTCAAAGATTTAGAGCCAGAAATACCATTTGACCCAGTAATCCCATTATTGGGTGCATACTCAAAGGAATATAAATCATTCTATTAAAAAGCTACATGCACGTGTTTGTTCCTTGCAGCACTATTCACAGCAGCAAAGACATGGAATCAACCCAAGTACCTATCAATAACAGACTGGATAAAGAAAATGTGGTACATATACACCATGGAATACTATTTAGCCATAAAAAGAAAGGAGGTCATGTCCTTTGCAGGAACATGGATGAAGCTGGAAGCCATTATTTTCAGCAAACTAATGCAGGAACAGAAAACCAAACACCGCATGTTCTCACTTATAAGTGGAAGCTGAACAATGAGAACACATGGACAAGGGGAGGGGAACAACACTTACTGGGGCCTGTTGGTGGAGGATGGTAGGGAGAGAGCATTAGGGAAAAGAGCAATGCACCCTGGGCTTAATATCTGGGTGATGGGTTGACAGGTGCAGCAAACCATCATAGCACACGTTTACCTATGTAATAAACATGCACATCCTACACATGTATCCCGGAACTTAAAAAAATAAAATAAGATAATTATGATTTTTTAAAAAAAATGTCATAGAACTCGGTGGCTCAGACAATAGGAATTTATTCCTCACACTTTTGAAGGCTAGGAAGTTTAAGATCAGGGTGACAGCATGGTGGGTTCTGTTGAGGGCCATCTTGCTGGCTTGTAGATGTTTGCCTTCTTGATATATCCTCACATGAGGGAGAGAGAGCAAGAGCAAGCTCTCCAGGCTCTTCTTATAAGGGCACTATTCCCATCACGAGGATCTCATCCTCATGACTTAATCTAAACCTAATTACCTCCAGAAGACCCCACCTCTTAATACTATCACATGGGGGATTAGGGCTTCAACATACAAATGGGTGTTTGCAGCAGTCCTTCAGCACAAATATAAAAGAACGGCTTGAGAAATGGGTTTCTAAAACTAAAATGTTTCATCTAAAAGGCTGAGATAATTTCCTACATACAAACATTAATCATAATACATGCTAAATCATCAGGCATGATAAAAGCTGTATTTTATGATTTATGATAATTAGTTTAGAGAACTGAAGGGTATAACTAAACTTCTGACAAGGACTTAAAACTAGCTAAGTTCATTTTATTTTCAGATCCTAAATGCAAGGCATAAGGTTAAAAAAACTAGCTAAATTGATTTAAGTATTGTTGTAAGATCCTTATTTTTAAGTCATGAAGCATCAAAATCACAGTGTGATTTGATATACTCCATAAAAGATAAACAAATTACTGAACAAACCAAGTAAGAGAAGTTTGCTTTCCTCTATCTTTTACCCTTTTCCCTGGTCATCATCATATTCCCATAAGATCCAAAGTGTTCTTTTTTTATTTTTATTTTTTGCCTTTTCAGTCCTCCTTATAAGAGAATTAAAATAATATTAATAGTTTGCATGGCCGGGCGTGGTGGCTCACGAATGTAATCCTAGCACTTACGGAGGCCGAGGCGGGCGGATCACCTGAGGTCGGGAGTTGGAGACCAGCCTGGCCAACATGGAGAAACCCCGTGGAGAAACCCCATCTCTACTAAAAATACAAAATTAGCCAGGCGTGGAGGCGCATGCCTGTAATCCCAGCTACTCGGGAGGCTGAGGCAGGAGAATCGCTTGAACCTGGGAGGCGGAGGTTGTGGTGAGCTGAGATCGCCCCATTGCACTCCAGCCTGGGCAACAAGAGCAAAAACTCCGTCTCAAAAAAAAAAAAAAAAAAATTGCTTGCATTAGGGTTTTTGTTTTTGTTTTTGTTTTTGTTTTTTTGCCTAATATTAAACCTAATGGCAAAAACTGCAATTACTTTTGCGCCAACCTAATAATAACTGTAATAACTCTAGCTCACCTTCCTCAATCAAAATTAGCTAGAAAAATCATATTCTCCCTTCCTGACTAAACGGAGTAACTGAAATATCTCATGCATATGGCTGGCAAATGGCTTTGACTCTCATTTTGTCTCAGATCCTGTGGCTTGCCACTTCTTCATAGACTATAATCCATTCCTTTTCTATGAATAATTTTTTACTGAGATGGCTTGGCCTCACATATGTTGACATGTATATTAGGATGACATGGAGCTTTGCTATTCTTGAATTTTGCAGAGCTAAATGTAGGCTCCCATTCTAAATGTGATGTTACTAAGAAGGTAGGTATCTTCCTTTATCAGGTGTGGCCCCTTCATGTGCTTTTCCTACCATTTAATAGAGACCCAGAGACACAGTTCTTTGACACCACCTTTCCTTTATCTTCTTGTGTCCAAGCCTTTTTTACAAGTCACTATCAACTGGGTCAGAAGACAATCTGAGTGACACACGCACACAAAAGTACTCAAAATTGCCTCTCCCTTTCAACCGTTTTTTCCATTGTTTGTACCAGACTTCTGAAATTTTCTCCCTCCGCCTGAGTTCCTGCTTTATTAGGTAAACCTTTCCGAGGGGCTAAGTGGTAGTAAAATCAGCCCAGTTGTCCCATAGAGCTGATGTTTATGGTTCATTCTGAATAAACATAGAAATTTACCTTCCAAGTCTTAAAACTTGAGAAAGTTGCATTTGTCTTTTTAGAGTTCCTATCAGGCCTTCTAGAGAGTATCAAGGAACTGAAACTTACCAGATCACTGCATCTAGACAATGAGACAGCAGATGGCTCACCTGTTTTTACTGCCTAAACAACCACCTGCTTGCTATTGACCAACTCCTCTCTTCCTTACCACTTCCTAATTCTTGTTTTCCCCACATGTAATTACATTTCTTTCCTGATATATGAACCTCTCATTTTAGTTGTTAGAGAAGACGTACTTGAGACTGATCTCTTGTTCTCCTCAGCTGCAGCACCCAATTAAAGCCCTCTTATCTAGAGATACTCTTTGACTTAGTGATTGGCATTGTGTGTACTGAGTAGCAGGACCTAGAATGAACCCCTGGCATTTCTGTAACAGCAGCTCTTATTGATTTATTAATTAGAGGTATTTTTCCTGAAGGTCTCATCTTGAGTGCTGGTGAATCTGGTTGTTTCTATGCAACTCCTTGATGGAAAAAAAAAAAAAAAACCTAATGACATGCCTGAAAATTGAGTTTTAACATTTTTATTCTTTTCAATTAATTCAGTAAGTGGGCAGTTCTATTATTGGGATAAGTATTAGATACATCTGATTATGCTATGGTTATAAAGCTTGAGTGATTTCTGTGTGAAACTCTCACAGCGCAGACATTGCTAAAATATGAACCAGGCCACTTTGCCAATTATTGAACTATTTCCATGAGCTTTATGTAAAACTAATAGATAAAATTCCATGATTTTAAATTGTCTATCATACCATGTAAAATAAAATAAAATTATTTTAAATTCAAATAATATTGTAAGTAAAAAAACACACTATTTTATAAGCCCTTATCATTTATACTGTTTTTGACCATCACCTTTAAAAGAATAACTGTAGGCCAGCCTTATTATTCTTCATATTGCTAATAAGAAAACATGGGACACAGAGAAGTTAAAGGAGACACCTCAGATCACATAGAAATTTAATGGCAGAACTAGAACGGAGACTAGTGTTTCTGAATTTCTAGCGTCTTCATTTTTGGTCTATGGAGGGGTGCTGTTTCTTATTAAAAAGGACAACATAGTTATCCCATTTATTAATTAGCCTGCTATAACTTACATTCTAACAGATTCAATTTGGAATTTCTCATGGATTAAATAAAAAATGTTACTTAACATAATTTAAATTATCTATTAGCAACTTTGAGGGTGTTGTTTCCTCAAGTCCACAAAGCAAATCTCTTGCAAAACTGCTAAATGAGAAAAGATCACAGATTTTCAGATCACTGTCAATAGTGTAGTCTCACATAGATTTTTTTTGGGGGGAATTAAAATATATGTATAAAGACTTAAACATCCCTCTAAATTTAGTCTTTCACCAAATGTTTACTGTGTGCCTACTATGATACAGACATATTCTAGGTGCTAATAACACTTTATACAGAAAAGAGAAGGCATCTTAGCCTTCATGCAAATAATATTCTAGAAGGTGAAGGCAGACGATAAGATAAGGATGTAAAATGTACAGTATGTTATATGGTTATAAATACTGTGGACACACAAAAAAGGAAGGGGATAGGAATTGTTGTAGGTTAGAGATTGGGGGACCACCAACGACCACATGGAGAAGATGAGTCATGGTGAAAGTGATGAGCAACATGAGACTATGGGTCACCTGTGCCATCTGTGGGCAAAGCCTAAAAGTGTGGCTCATGTGTACAAGGGACATCAAACAATCTTTGGATGGATTGAAGCATAAAATGAGGAAGAGATAGTTTTAAAAAGGTGGCAGAGGACAAGATCATGTAGAATATTTTGGGTCACAATGGGAATTCAGGGTTTAATAAAAGTGAGTGGTGTGGGAGTAGAAGGGTGGCTTTCAGTTTTAAGAAGACAACTCTAGCTGCAATATTGAGAATAAACTCCTGGACATCCAAAGCAGAAGCAGGGAGTTCTCTGTTTTTTACTGTGCTGAAGACAGACATTTCTATTATTGGGTGATTTACATGGCAATCAAAACCTGTATGCAACAGTAGTGTACTGTTATTAAAGATCAGTGGAATTCTGTGCTAAGTGGCAGAATCTGTCATGGGAGGTACTAGATGGATTTTGGTACTCTTGGTTGTCAGGTCCTTTTGATCAATTGTTGGCAAATGATCCCAGAGCTGCAGTGAGGACGAGGAAGAGGTGCTGAATTAGTACAGTCACTTAGGAGTTGAAGTGAATTCACTCAAAAACCAAATTGACTTTCAAATAGTGGGATCTATTAGGCAGTAATGATTTCAGTGTAGGCAGAGTTTTTCTAGGCTGGAAGGTAGAGATTGTGTTACAGCATAAAAATAACAGGTATTCAGAAGGTCCAAGACAATCTTTTGAGAGTTGCCCAAATTTTTCTGGAACCACTGCCAAACCATTTAGAGTTAACAGAAGGGTTATTTTCAGATACTACATTTTTATTCTTGCAAAATAGCTCTGTTCAAAACATGGCTCAGTTCTCAGGAGAGCCTTTAAAATATAACTATTATTTTTACTCCCATGGTCAATGACAAGAAATGAACAGTCATAATCACTGAATAAATAATATGTACAAAGGATCAAAAATATTTTCCAAATGGAAAATGTGAATGAAAACATTCCCATTATCACAGAATATTGACAGAAAAGAAAGTTTTGAGTGCATTAAAAGAAACCAGTTTTGTATGAGTTATATCATTCCACTTTTAGGTTATTTTTGATTTTTTTCTCTCACTTTTAAGCTGATCCTCAAAAGATTGATTGAAAGTCTGCCTGCTTCTGGTCTGAATCATTCCCTTTTCGCTGGGTCAGAAAAGCTGTAAAATTTCTTTTCTTTTCCAGGTTTGTATCTCAGTTGTTCAATTCTACTTGTTTGACCCTTCTATCTCTGGCTTTTTAATTTCAATTTTCCCTTTTTTATTAGATTTGTTTGGGATTACATGTGCTTTCTTATCTCTATTTTCCCCACCCTTCATTCTGGCAATAACACTTGGTTTTAACAGAACATTGAATAGTTACAACCCTTCCTTATATTCATGAAATATTAATTCCTAAACTCTTGTTCATGTAAACTATTATTTTACTTTGAGCTTTTTTCATCTTTTTAATTAGATAAATTACAGCTAATTTAATTTATGTCAAATGATCAGCAGAAAGCAATTTGTAATGTGTTTACTGTTGTCATTGTTTTTGATGTTATTGTCACCGTAATTTTGTCAATAGAAAATAAAATCTCATAAATGCTATAGCATATAGTTATTAACAAATGCAAATACAATTATGGACAATTAATTTAATTGATAAAGCTGTCTTCAAAATTCTGGTTAATGTTTATATGACTAGGCTTCAAATATTACCAAACAAAATAAAATCACTCTATCAACAGGTATTTATTTAGAACCTAAGTTAAAATAAGGACAGTATTGAAGCACATAAACAAAAAGCTGGACAATATATGACTCTCTAACAGTAAAAGTTCACATTGCTATCAGAGAAGCAGAAAAAGAAAGAAAGTGAGTGTGAGTATTAAATGGATGCATAAAAATACATTACATGATTTTATATAGATATTGTACTGTTATAACATGTCAGCTCAACTGGTGCTTTAGAAGAATATTAAAACACCCTAGAGAACGTTTATACTGTATATCTTATTTACCTAATGGTTCCTTATATTGAATTGAGACTTTTTCCCCAAAATCTTATTATTTTGAGGTCATCTTTAGTTGATTGAAATCAATTAATGACTAGAGTCAGAGACGGTGTCTGGGTAAAAAATAAATGTGTAATAAGTATAGTTAATTAGCAATAAGGTGGATCTCAGTATTTCACCATATAGTATGGCAAGTGTAGAGAATATTTTTTAAAATATTTTCTCAAACAATGTACATATTTCTATCTTTTTCAGAATAATCTGTCACACTTCCCTATTAAAATGTTTCCAAAGATACTTCCTCCTAAGGTTTCCATAATTTCTATCCTTATTATAATAAGACAACTTTTACCCTGCCATTTGTTAATTGTATTTATGTTCTAGCTTAGTATCAGTTGTTACTTGAAGACAGATTATGATCTTCTTCAGTTCCATATACAAGTGATTACAACCAGGGTCTGTTTTATAAGCAGGCAACCTACATTGCTACATACATCAGTCACATAAGGCCCTACACTCAGATGGTCCCTGTACTGGTGTAATGCTTTAAACTCAGTACCTTAAAATTCTTAATAATTTTATTATGAACTTGTGTTTTATAATCAAAGTTTGTTGGGACAATAGGGCATTATGTGAGCAAGGTTAACATGTTCAATATAGTGCCATATATGTATCCACTGTTTCTTGCTGCTCACTTGCATATAGTGTTTGCAGTGATCCATGAGAACAGAATCCTGGTGTACCCATAATGCTTGGGAGTTCAGTGAAACAAGGTAAGCCTAGTCAGCTCAGGCTGCCATAAAAAGTACCATTAAAAAATACCATAAAATACTGATTGGATTACACAATACACTTATTTTCTCATTGTCCTGGAGCCTGGAAGTTGGAGATTCTGGTGAGGGCTGTCTTTTTACCTTGCCAGCGGCTGTCTTCCCATGTGTCCTCACATGTCAGACAGAGAGAAATCTCTGGCACTTGGTTTTTTTTTTTCCTATAAAGGCACTAATCTCAACACACGGGCCTCACCTTTATGATCTCACCTAAACCTAAATTATCTCCCAGAGGCCCCATCCCCAAATGCCATCACATTAGAGATTAGGGCTTCAATATACAAATGTCGGGGAGGGGAAGACAAAATTCATTTCATAGCAGTCTGTTACATCTATAACTGACTAAATGGGGGTGCTGACAGCCCTAATGTGCCACACTTTCTATACAAGCCATTATTTTATTTTAATGCAGAAAGAAAATCCTAGTGTTCTAAGAAACATGAATGACTGAGAAATTCTATTATATCCATCCTTATTCATATTATTTCTTGCATTAGCCAACATATGCTGAAAATAATGACACAGAAGGGAGAAAGGCAGCTCGATCCACACACAGTTCTTTTTTTTTTTCCACTCCTTTCTCACTCCTCTGTAATCCAAAGTTAGAGGTATAAGATTATTGGTAGAATGTGCACATATCAAAAGTAAAAATAAATGAATTAATTTTCTTCAATGTTTTTACTATGCTTGTGTAGTGTGACAGATCGCCCACAAGGTTACTTAAGGTTACTTAAGATTTTATGTCCCCTGCCTGAACCCTGATCATCTCCAAGTAATGATCTCTGAAGCTCTCCTGCTGCCATCCAGGAGTGCCTCGTATGTAAGTCCTAAAACTCATCTGTTCACCAAACTGGACTTTTCCAAGCTGTTGTTGGGTCTCTGGGCTTTCTCCCAGTTTGGAGGATGGTATATTTTTTATATGTTTCTGGGTTGTTCTTATTACAATTGGTGTAACAAACAGGATCCAAGAGACCAAATTAATGAGTCAGGAAGGGACCTCTGTCGGGGGAATCCTGGGGTGGGCAGTAACACGTATATGGGGTTGAGTTGCTCTACTGTTCAGCCTTTGTGGGCTGCCACACAAGTATGGGGACACTCAGAGAATGCAAGTGGGACTTAGAATCTATTGCAAGAAGCTTAGATGCTAAAGTGCAATAAGGGTAGTAAACATGCTGTTGTTGAACTAAGACTGGCTGCTGAGAAAGTATTAGAGCAGGGAAGGGAGCAAGGGTAGAAACTCCCACAGAAGTTTAAAGGCATGCCAGGTTTTCTAGGACTCCAGACGGTTGCATATTATCGCCCATTTGTGTACACTTTTTAATACTGATGGGTAAATTACATTAAGAAACATTCAGAGCTTAGATGGTTAATGTGCACCTATAGAGTTAAGTAGAGTCTTCTAAAGCTATTTCCTTTTCTATCTCCTTTTAATCTGCAGTCATACAAGCTACTGGAGTTGAGAGAAAACTGTTTATAGTAAAACTAATTAAAGGTTATTTGGAGATTTTGTTTTTCTTATACAGGTCAGCAAGTTGTAACTAAGATATAAACAATGAAACTCATCTGGAACTAAAGAAACCGTAAAGACACAAAGAAGTTTTTTTGTTTGTTTGTTTGTTTATTTTTTTTATCAAATTGTCATGGAAATGGCTTTACCCAAAATTTTAATCCAGTTTTCCTTAGACTATCTATCAGGGCAAATAAAGTTTAGCTGTATGAACAGGTCCCAATTTTGTCAAAAATAATTTGAATCCTGCTGTCTTTTGTAAAATAATGAGTTTGTGATACTTTCTCATGGCTAAAATTTTGAGATAAAAGCTATTGGATCTTTGTGTGTGGATGTGTATGTTTTAATGTGTTTATGTGTATACACATGTATTATATTCTGTGTTGTGTCTAGTATGCTACCAAGTTGGATGAAAAATACATAAGTGCTCTAAAATTAACTAAGTCCAAATTCTTTCAAGTTCATGTGAATTCAATAATCTTTTGTAAATAAGCTAGAGATAAAATTATTGGCAAAATAAAAATAGAAATGTGTTCATAAGTGTTAGCAGATATTTTTGTCTGAGTTGACTGAACGGATAAGCTTTAGAATTATTTTGACACTTTAAGGTGTCAGGGTTTGAAATGAAGGTTATAAGACTGTAAACCTAGCCAAAAACAGAGTGATCTTTGTGTGATTTTTTGATAAGCAAGACTCATTCAATAATGTTGGTTTAATGAAAACAGCTGAATTTTCTGAATCTCAGCAGAAATGTCCACATGTTTAGCTTTAACTTTCTTGCTTAGACAAATACCTGATATTCACAAGCTATGAAAATGGTTAACATGGAAACAACTTGGAATAATTATTAGCTTTATTTAATGTGTTGGTTCTCATCTAGATAAACTGCTAAAATGAGTACATTGAGCAAATGAAAGTGAAATAAATGCTTGCAGATGAAATGTTTGTGCAGTTTAAAATCTTAAACTTATTTTAGGTCCTCATTAAATGTCTAAGTCATTTCCAAATTAAAAAAAAATGTTTTGATATGGGGCACTGGTCGCTCTTCTGAGCCCATTAACGGGAAATAGAATCTATGATATGAGGGACGCATTGGTGGACCTCAGTGAACTGCATGAAAGCAAGAAATTAGTTCAGAAAGTAATCAAAGAACAAAAAGGGGGTGGACCAAATAGGCCTGTACACTAGCTCTGTCAAGCAATTAACGCAAAACAATACCATCCGCCATGGGGGCACTCCGAAATCACCCAAACAGTCCAGGAATTACGTAAATTACAAATAGCCCGGCCCAGAGCTTCTACAACAGCCCTGTGTGGTTTGTGAAGAAGCTGAATGGCAGCTGGAGAATGATGGTAGACTACATAAGCTGAATAAAGTGATGCCATCTGTACATGCAGCTATACCTAATACTGTTCAACTGCTAGAGCAAGTTGTCCTTAAGCTGGAAATCGTTCATGCTGTGTTTGTTTGGCTAACAGCTTTTCCAGTATTTCTTTAGCAGAAGATTCACAAAACCAGTTTGCCTTCACTTAGGAGGACCAACAATGGGCATTCCAGGTACTATCACAAGGGTACTGGCACAGCCCCAACATCTGTCACACTACAGTTGCATGGGACCTGACTAGACTCTCTTCACCTGCTTCAGTTTTTCTGCTTCAGGATGTTAATGATAACACGCTAATCTTAGAGTCTCTTACAGATCTGGAGACTGCCCTATAAACCTCCTTGTATGGCCTAAAGGACAGGGGATGGGAAGTCAACCCCTAAAAGTTATAGAGGCCTGGCATAGCAATCAAATTCCTGAGAGTTACCTGGTTGAGTAAGATGAGTAATATACCCAGAGGTGTCATTAATAAGAAAACACAGCAATCTGTTCCTCAGACTGTAAAGCAACTAAAGATTTTCCTAGGTTTACTGGGATACCGGAGGATATTCATTTCTAATTTGGCACAAACCCTCTGCCCATTATGCACTCTAGTAAAAAGGGATAAAAATGGGACTGGACACACATGGAACAAGAGACATTTGACAAAATACATTTGTTGGTAAACCAAGTGTAAGCAATAGAAGACCACTGCCACAGCACCCTTTTGTATCAGAAGTCACTAGAGATGCTACAGGGATGAATTTTGGTTTGTGGCAAAAGCAACCAGTGGGAATTTACATGTAGAGTTTTGGTCTCAATTATCGAAAGGGGGAGAATACCATTATACAATTCTAGAGTAACAGCTATTGACCATATTTAGGGCATTGCAATAAACAGACGCTATCACCAGAAATAAAGCAGATTGCCACAGTAAAAACTGCCTATCCTATAAAAGTGTGAATGAAAGGCCTCCTAGCCAAGGTGAGTTTGGGCTCACCTCTGAGGTGGCACATCCATATATCCTGCAAACATGGCACATCTACCTACAATAAAGGGATGTCTCATCCACTTTTTTTTTAAGTGGGGCACTACAGGAGGTGCTTGGACCTATTCACTTTCAACAAGTGGAAGGGGCAGGCATAAAAATGGAGTCATCAACTAGGCCAACCACTGTATATAAGGAGACCCTGCCAATACCTGCTAGGGCCTGGTACACTGATGGGTCTAACCTGAGCGGATACAACATTGGGGCTGCTACAGGTCTTCCCAGTAAGATGTGCCACCCATCTGGATACCATCAAGTGTCTTACCACTTTTAGTGTCATGTATGGTATGCTAAGGATAGAAAGTGATCAGAGACTCCATTTCACAGACTGGAGGTTCCACTTATCATATAACCCAAACATGTACTGGCTTCATGGGAAAAAAAAAAAAAAAAAGCCCTGTTGAAAATCCAACTCTCATGCACTGTCCCAGGCTTGCTCTTTAAGGTCCTGGACCAAGAATCTCAATGAAGCCATGCAATCTTTGAATGGGTCACTCACTACCACACATGGCATCACTCCTTATGAATGGTTGGCCTGTAAAACAGGCCCTGCAAGCTCTCAGGGTTACCTCTGAGACTCTAAGCCATTCTCTGAAGCAGATGGTCAGACTGTGCTCCTGAGAACACCAGTGGATCTACCAAGTGGCGATGGCTGTATGGACCTGAAGTTGAGCTGGAAAGTGGCCCCATACTGGGTCGGTTTTATGGCACCAGAGGCCACCACAAGGACTGCCAGAGGTAGGTGATCTGAGCTGTGCTCCTTGATGGTGATCTGAGAGCCTTAAGATATCAACATGCAGCAGCACCAATACTTGCAGGAGCAGTCAGAGTGGGATAGTGTGGGCAAGGCTAGAAACTTACCATTTGGTTATTATGCCCAATCCTAAAGAGGGAAGTCATGTATATGGCACTGTAAGCCAGGCCTGGAGCCTACAGTGGCCCTTTGTGGTGCCAATGAGAAAAAATACAGCAGTAATAATGTTATAAGAAATGGATACGCCCATGATGGTCCCTACTGGATACCTGTGTTTATACCCATAAGCTTTTGTTCCTGCTACCCATGGCAACTGTATGGCAACAAGTAATGTCTTCCTTGTCTGGGTTGTGACTACAGCAGCAGTCAACAATCAGTCCGATTATTGGGTATATGTATACCTCCTCCTATTAAATGATAGTGGTATGCCTTAAATAAATACAATGCCATTCTCTAGACAGAACTCAACAGCACCAATAATGCACCCAGGCTCCTTGTGGATTGCATCCATCCAGAGGCTTGATCACCAATGCAATGGAGACCCAATAGCAGGTGCCCTTATTGGCACTACTGTTGTGCCTATATTCCTGATGAAGAAAATAATGTCACAGATGCTTTACATCATTTGTCAACTCAGATCTATGATATAGCCTGATTAAGTTTCTTTGACTCATTCTCAAATTTGTTACACACCTTTCCTACTCATTGGAGTTATATTTTGCTAATAGGCATCTTAATTTTAGTCACATCCTGCTTTTTATGCTGTTGTGTGTACTGGGGGTGCATCCTGTGTGTAAGAGTTATGGCTATACATTATAGACTTGTGTAGTTTTTCCCCTAGTACTTTGCTCATTGCCTCTCACATAAGATTGGCAGAAAGAATGTAAGAGCTGGGGACAGGATGGATTGTAGTGTGATGGGTCCCCCACAAGGTTACTTAAGGGTGAATATCTGCAGCCTGAAACCTAAACTCTGGGCAATGATCCAAGGAGCAGGTGTCTCTGAGAACCCAAACATCTTGAAGAATATCTGACAACCTCAGATAAAGTCCCATCACATACACACACACACAGTAGGCAAAGAGCAGAAAATTAGCCTAAAAGCAGCTTAGAGATCCCCAAAGCTGTCCTGCTGCCATCCAGGAGCACCTCGTATTTAGGTCCTAATAAACTCATCTACTCACCAAACTGGACTTTTCTGAGTCATTCTTTTGTCTCTCAGCTCCCTCCCTGTTTGGAGGAAGGTTTTTTTTGTTTGTTTGTTTGTTTACAATTCCAGGTTTTCTTGTTACAGTTCTTGTAAGAATTATGTATTTAAAATTGTATATATACCTGTGTGTATATATATATATATATATATATACACACACATATACACAATACATACACACACACACACACACACACACACATATATATGAGCCGGAAACTACCATTTGTGTGATTTCAGTGATTCCATACACACGGCAAATATTCAATTATCAGCATTTGCAATTTGTATTGCTCAACAGAAAAATGAATGGTAAAATTCATGCTAATAACTGAAAATGTTAATTTTTCTTACAGCAACATCAACAGCATGTAAATAAACATTTGAGGTCAACAAACATTTTAATTTTAGTATCCTAAAGGTCATAGGTCATGTTTCTCCTGTGTTTTGAGCAAAAGTCTCTGCAAATCATGTTGCCAGCCCTCACAATACTGTTCTGTGATGACTCTGGCCATTTGGGATTAATGTGGAAGGGAGAAGTACAAACCTACCTTTGTATTGGCACTATGAAGCAGAAAAGATATAGCAGTGATACATTTAACTTTAAGGGAATCATTCTGAGTTCTATATACACTAAAAGGGAATGAGAGATAATCCACCGAGTCCTGTGCTGAAAGATACAGATGAAGGTCAGTTAATGAAATACTAACATCAAGACATCATTGATGCAGGCCTGTCTAAAAATTAACTTGGTCTTTACAGCATTGTTTCCTTGAAAACAGCCACATTAAGATAAACTGGCTGTGTTTTGTCTGCTTCGATTGGAACACAGCTGGTTGAATATTTGTAAGTTAGCATGCTGGCTTGGCTCTGCATGCCTAAAATAGTATAAAAGATTGATGGGAAAGGGGGCTCTTGCTTCTATGTTTTAAGATGACCAACACACTTATTGGCTTTTTTCTGGGAAGCTCTGGGTGAATTAAGGGGATAAAATACATTCTGTATTTGGTAGCTCGAAAACTTCCTGATGAGATGAACATGTTGTGCCTTCTGTATCTCCTTCCTTGTATCCTTTTTATAAAGCCAAATAAATACAGCATTAGATTAAACTTATTTGTTTCTCATGAGTCTGGTTGCCAGTACAATTTCAGAACCACAGCTGTCCTGCCATTGAGTAGAGTGAGGAATTGTCTAGGCTTTCTTTGATTCTATAGGACCAATCACTATGTTGTGGGAGAAAGAACAGTGGTGGGAAGGGAATGAAGAGAAGTTGATCGATGCCTAAAGGCCCACCAACCCACCTAGGAATTATAGTAGTGAAATCTCTGAGGCAAATAACAGGGGATAAATACAACTATTGAAATCTGGAGATATAATATTATCCCCTAGGGAATTGCCAAAGTGTATGGTCAAGGAGAAAAATGAGGAGATAATAGCTAAAGATAGTTGTTTGGAGTTTGTATTATTAGCCGTAATGAAAGTGAAAGTGCTTGAGAGAGAGGTAGTGAAACCAAAGCAGCAATATGTTGAGTGCCTGAGACAAACATGTTCACACTGTAAACAAAAAGTCTTACTGGAGACCTGGAAAAACATTGCTTTAATCATGGCACAGCTTCATGACTGGTCATCAAAAATGTGATTTTGGGGTCAGATAGTGATAGAACCAGAGGCTGTAGTATAGGTATCACTTCATTGAGAAGAACCTTTAGAGACTAGAAGTCTCTATTTTTCTTGAATATTAGATTATAATTTCTGAGGGCTAACGTTTATTTGTGGATACAGCAGAGCCAAAAGGAATGTGTGATCTGTGTAATAATTCAATATTTAATGCAATAGTTGATATTCAGAAATTGCCATCAGTGATAAGAGCAATTCAACTTTTGGACAGAGATTGGGGAGTGATGTTAATCTTTGCAGAGGAGGGATATTGTCCACTTTCCTTTTGGCTATGAAGTAGAAAAATTCACAACAGTCTTCAAAATGAAGATAGTACGTCTGTACATTAATCATTAAATTTTCAAGTCATTTGTGTTATCACCTACTCCTTCTATACTTCTGTAAAAAGCCCCTATTATTCACTAATATGTCTCATTCTCTACAAAAAATTCAGTTTCTTTCATAATGCTGACTCTGTCAAAGATAAGTCTCAGAGTTACAATGATCTTATTTCAATAGTTCCACACTTACTTTGAAGCAAAGTAGCATTGTAATGAAGAGATTGGAATGAGATTTGACTACTTTTTCTTTTTTTTTTTTTTTAATTTTTAATTTGGGCTACAGATAGTTTTCTAAAACGCTGAAACAATAAAGAGATGCCAGCACAGTGAGAACAGATAAAGGACTGGAAATTTCTCCTGTAAGTGACAAGTGCGATCCTATAAAAATATGGTTTGTTGTTTTAGGGCAATAAGAACTTTAGAGTACTTTTTATATCCTGTAATTTTTAGTGCAATTCCATGTGCAATTCCACTGAATTGAAGACAGGAAATACTTTTTTAAAGGACTGACAGAGCATAGCCTAAATTGAACAACTGCTTGTCCTTTATAAGGTATTCTAAAGGAGAAGGTCTTGCTTTTGGTAACTTTTCCATCTAATGTTTGGGTGGAACCCTAGAAGTCTTTTATAACACTATTCAGAGGTAGAATGTATACGAACTGTGCTCTATTCTTTAAAGACTTAGATTTGTCTAATGGTTAAGAATTTGGGTTTTGGTATTAAAGAATATGGGTTTGAATCCTGGCTTTGGCACTTTTCAGTTATGAGCATGCTGACAAATAACTTACTTTCTAGGACTCAGTTTCCTTGTATATAAATATTAATAAATAATTGGTAGTTGCCTAAGAGAGGATTGCTAGATTAACTGACACAATGCTTGAAAATAACCTGTAGGAATGCTGACCATCTAGAAACAGCTTATTGCTGTTACTTTCATAGTTTTTATTTCTCCTGTTGTATTGCATAGATAGATAGATAGATAGATAGATAGATAGATAAAAGATAAATGGATCAAAAATTAAGAGAAAATGAAAATCTGGGCTTATTAGCAACTTTTGTGTAAAAGAAGAGTGAAAATTTGAAAATATATTGAAACTTGCCTATCTCTCAAATTCTTTTAAGAAAGTAGTTCTGTTTGATATTTTGAACCTTTTATGATATATGGGATCCTCATCTGTAATCCTCACTTGTGATTTAAAATACAGACAATTTTTAATGACTAATTAAATAAGAGAACATGAATAACAGCATGAAAATGCGTGAGACATGGTGTCTTCTTCCTAGTGACTGGAACTTAGTCAATATTACTCATCATCCTTTTCAGTGCATATTAATAGAGCTATTAATAATACCACTACACCTAATAATATAGTAATAGTCATGCTTAACACGTATTGAGTGTTTATAATATTGTAGAAATTTCTCTCAGTGATTTTTTTATGTATCAACTCTCTTAATTTTTCACTGTAACCCTTTGTGAAAATTTTGCTATTATCATTGCCAGTTTACAGAGGAAGAGTTTGAAGCACAAGGTGGAACATCTTGCTAAATCACACAAAGTTAATACACAGTAAATCCAAGATGTGAACCCATGTCATCTTTCTCCAAGATAGGGACTGCACCATATATTCAGTTCATTTTATTATGAATATTGTGTGAGAGCTGCAGATATATGTGTCTGTTTATAAAAATTAAAGAAAAAAATATAAAACAAGAAAGGCAAGTAATGGTGAACCCATACAGCAGTTGCACTCTGAAGGAACAATAGAAATCTGAAATGTGGAAATAATATTCAAAAAAGTGTTGCTTTGAATTAAATTGAAATCTAAAAGTTCTAAAAATCATGTATAGCAGTTAAAAATTAGGTAAAATATCACATGTAGACTGCTTTTAAAAGATGATGCTTATTTTGCAATCCCATTAGTAGGTATATACCCAACGGATTATAAATCATTCTACTATAAAGACACACGCACACGTATATTTATTGCGGCACTGTTCACAATAGAAAAGACTTGGAACCAACCCAAATACCCATCAGTGATAGACTGGATAAAGAAAATGTGGCACATATATACCATGGAATACTATGCAGCCATAAAAAGGATGAGTTCATGTCCTTTGCAGGGACATGGATGAAGCTGGAAACCATCATTCTCAGCAAACTAATGCAAGAACAGAAAATTAAACACTGCAGTTCTCACTCATAAGTGGGAGTTGAACAATGAGAACACATCAACGCAGGGAGAGGAACATCACACATGGGGCCTGTCGAGGGGTAGGGGGCTAGGGGAGGAATAGCATTAGGAGAAATACCTAATGTAGATGATGGGTTGATAGGTTCAGCAAACTACCATGGCACATGTATACCTGTGTAACAAACCTGCACTTTCTGCACATGTACCCCAGAACTTAAAGTATAATAATGATAATAAAAGATGATGCTTATTTGATTATTTAATGCATGTCATTTAAAAATTTCTATAACATAAAAACCTCACAAGTAAACAAAAAATTCAGTGTTTAATAAAAATTTAGATAGAAATCTTTGCTCATAAAGTGTGGATTAGATAAGTTCTCTTTTCTGTATTTTGTGAATATTACCATCTCTTGATATCCTAATTATTAAACCGGGGTCCTCAGAAAAAGCCTGCCCCACCAAAATAAGAAAGAAGAGGAATAGTCAAGATGAGACCCATAGAAAATGATACGTTTCTTAAGGTTTTATCTTTGATGCTCCCAAGTTTTCCTCTCTGACCCATAACTTCTTATCTACAGGGATTCTTTTCCTCACCTTTTCTTGATCTCTTCTCTAAGATCTAAGCAAACCTATTCGCAAGGAATCCCACTATTAGTCTCTGACAATTTAATATTCACTTAACTTGCAGTTTTAACTCTTCTAAAGCATTATCTATTTAAGACTCCTCTCTCATTAGAAACATTGAGAGTCAGGCATTTTGTAGAATTCCTCTCTCATGAAATTTGTCTGATTTTTTTTTTAATGCTCATAGTGGGATTATGGGTTTTTCAAAGGAAAATCATACTGATAAAGTTGCCATTTTAATCACAGAATTTCACAGGTCTACACTATCAATGTAATTTATCACTATCAATGTTGACCTGGATCACTTTGTTGCAGTAATGGTTTTTACATGATGCATTTTTCTACCTTTCTTCACTATACTCAATGGATGAAAGTCTCAATGCAGTTCACACTTATGGTGTGGAGACTTATGCTCACCTCTTGAGGATAGAGTATCTACACAATTATATGAAGTTCTGCACAGTTTACTTATCTCTTCTCCCTCATTTGTTTATCTACTCAGTTATTTATCTGTATTTGTATAGGCTCGTGGATATTTATTGCATACTTTGGATTATATTCCAATCCTGCCCTAAGTATTCTGTGGATCAGTTCTTTTCTGGCTTGGCCTATTGGTACTTCTTCTGTTAGCACCTGTGTCCTTTTAACATACCCCCATCAGTGTGGGGATTGTTTGTTTTTAGCATTTCCTTGGTTTCTGGTATTACAGCTTGCTGTAGGGTTATCTTGTATATTTCCTTTCTCAATTTTAGAATCAATCATTTTTCCAAGAAACCCTGGTTTCTTCTATTGGAGCATGATTCTGATGCCAGGTATGTTTATTGCTACTGGGTAACATTTTTTTTCAGGCCCTAACACTTGACAGAAATAAACTGGATGTGTGTATACACATTTGTGTATACATACATCTGTGATTTTTTATAGTCATTTGCATCTTTATTTAGCAAAATATTAGTACATATTTATGTCTCCAACTCTAATCTATTATCACATGTATAATCATTCTAGGCTAGAATAATTTATCAAATTTTAAAGAAGATTCAAACCAAATCTACACAACCTTCTACAAAGTAGAAGAGGAGTAAATACTTATCAGTTATGATTATGAAGCTATTATTACCATACCAACATGAAAAAATTACAATAAATAACCTATGAACCAATATCTCTTATGAATATAGATGTAACTATCCTTAACAAAAGTTAGCAAATAGAATTCATCAGTATGTAAAAAATATATATATAAGCCATATTCAAGTCTGTCATGACGAGGTTTCAAGACTGGTTCAATATTTGGTAATTCAATATATTAGAAGGCTAATGAAGAAAAACCATATGATAATACCGATCAATGCAGAAAAACACTTCACAGAATTAACACTTACTTATGACATAAATGCTCACAAGAATAGAGGATAATTTATTCAACTTCATGAAGAACATCAACAAAATATGTATAGCTAATATTACATTGCAGGGTGAAAGTCTGAATGCTTCCCCTCTAATATTAGAAACAAGAAAAGGTTGTCTGTTCTCACTATTTATATTCAACATATGCTGCAAGATATAGTCAGTGCCATAAATCAAAAATAGGAAATGAAAGGCATACAAATCAGGGAAGTAGAAATAAACTGTCTATATTGGCAGGTGACATGATTGTCTATATTGGAAATCTCCAGGAATTTACAAAAAGAAATCATACAGAAAGCAACAAATGGTCTCCAGAATTAAACAAAATACAATACCACTTATAATCACCTCTCTTGCCCCCTTAAAAAATGCTTAGATGCAAAGCTAACAACACATTTATAAGACTTGTATGCTGAAAAATATTTTAAAAGTGATGAATGAAAACAAAAAAGATAAAAATGAACGGAAACTTTTGTTTTTCTTTTCATGAATTGAATTACTCAGTAGAAATAGCAATTTTTCCCAAATTTTTGTACAGGTTTAACATAATTCCTATAAAAATCCCAGAAATAATTTTTTGTAGATATGGGCAAGATAATTTTTAAATGTATGTGGAAATGTCAAGGAATTGGATAGCTAAAAAAATATTTAAAAGATGAACTGGGTGGGGAGCGATGGCTCACGCCTGTAATCCCAGCACTTTGGGAGGCAGAGAGGGGTGGATCACCTGAGGTCAGGAGTTCAAGACCAGCCTAGCTAATAGGGCAAAGCCCCATCTCTACTAAAAATACAAAAATTAGCTGGGTGTGGTGGCAGGCGCCTGTATCCCAGCTACTTAGGAGGCTGAGGCAGGAGAATGGCGTGAACCCAGGTGGCAGAGGTTGTAGTGAGCCGAAATCACACCACTGCACTCCAGCCTGGGTGACAGAGCGAGACTCTGCCAAAAAAAAAAAAAAAAAAAAAAATGAACTAAGTGCAAAGAACCATTCTACCTCATTTCAAGACTAATACATAGCTACAGTAACCATATATTAGGCTTGTATGCTGTCTAATATTTGCAGAACAATAGACACATAGATAAACAGAACACATTAGAAATCATGAAAATTTATCCGCCTAAATGTCCATAAAGAATTCTAATAAAATCGTAAAAGCAACTTAGTGAAGGAGCGATAGCCTTTTCAAAAATGATGCCAGAGCAAGTGGACATCTATAAGCAAAACAAAAGAACTTTGATTTCCTTGATCTAAAACACATACTTTATGCAAAAATTAATATGAATCATGAACTTAAATGTAAAATTATAAAACTTCAAAAATTAATGGAATAAAATATTTGAAATTGAAAGCTAGGCAATTATTTCTTAGCTTTAACAGCAAATGCATGATCCATAAATGAAAAAAAAATGACAAAATAGGCTTGATTAAAATTAAAATCTAGGCCAGACACAGTGTAATTCCAGAACTTTTGGAAGTCAAGGTGGGAGGATCACTTGAGTCCATGAGTTCAAGACCAGCCTGGACAACATAGCGAGAACTCTACTAAAATAAAATTAAATAAAATTAAAATATTTTGTGATACAAAACACCCTGTTGAGAGAATAAGAATGCAAGCTCCAGAGTGGAAAAATAATTTGGAAACTACATGTTTGATAAAAGACCAGTGTCTAAAATATAGTAAGAACACTGAAAACTCAGTAGTGTTTTATTTTTAAACTAATGATCCACTTAGAAAACAGATAAAACAGAACAAAACAAAACTTAAAGAGAAATTTAACTGGCGACAATTTGAAAATGGAAAATAAGCACATGAAAAGAGGCTCAACACCATTAGCTATTACGGAAATGCAAATTGAAAACACAATGAGATACCACTACACATCTTTGAGAATGACTAAAATTAAAAAATATATATATAGTGGCAACACTAAATGTGGCAAAGACAGGGCAATTCTGGACCACTCACACATTGCTGCCATACTTTTTAAGCCTCCCTTGATAACGTTTGACAGGTCACTAAAAAAACTAAATACACAAATATGATATGACCGAGAATTATACTCAAATAGGCATTTGTTTAATAGAAATGAAAATTTATGTTCACGCAAATATCTGTTCATGAATAGTCATAACAGATTTCTTCATGATAGCTCAAAAACGGAAACCATCTGAATGTCCTTCACGGTAAAACTATCTGTACTACATCCATACCATGGAATACTGCTGAGAAATGAAAGGAAATGAACTATTGAAACACAACAACCTAGATAAATCTTCAGGCAATTATTCTGAGTGAAAATAAAATCCAATTTCAAAAGATTAAAGCTGTATACTTCCATCTATATAATATGATTGAAATGACAAAATTATATCAAAAGATAACAGATTAATTCTTGCCAAGATTTAAAGACAAAAGTAGATGTAACTAAGAAATAGAACTAAGAATTTCTTTTGGTAATGGAAATATTGTGTATCTTGGCTGTATCATTGTCGGCATTCTGGTGATGATATTGTTCTACAATTTTGAAAGATAATAACATTGAGATGATCTAGAAAAAGGACACATGGAATATCACTCCATTATTTATTAAAACTGACACATGAAGCTACAATTATCTCAAAAGAAAAAGATTAATTGACAAACAAAAGCAAAAATATGTAAAGTATTTCCAAGATTTGTCTCATTGTTGCTTCCATTTTCCTAAATATGTTACAGTATAATCTTCCAGGCATCTTGGCCAATATGAAAATGAGAGGTATTCTTTCCACTTACAAGAAATTTCCAGTCCACTGAGGACAGTGATGTAGTAACAACAACAATAATAAACACAATGTAAAGTTGAATATTGCTTTATAATATGTATCATATGTTCATAGAATAGCACATTAAATACTTAAAATTAATTATAGCTAAGGTTATATTACATATGAAGAATTTGAGATTCAGAGAAATTAAGTAATCTACCCAAGTTTCCACAGCTTACACAAATTAAGCTCAATTCAGAACCCAGGTTTGATTCCTGAGATAATTTACTTCCGATAAACTAATTCATATTGTACATGCACAATTCTTTTTTGTAGATATCATTCACAAATTTTCATTAAATTTAAAAAGGAACAGTGATTGCCTACATTGTCAATAATGTATCTGGGTATGATGTGGATTTATCTGGCTTACTACATGCTTCCACATTAAAACTATGGGTTAAGTAGACAACCATATTTTACTCAGCCATTTTCTTTTTGTGAGGACAGTTCACTGTTTTCCTATTTCTTCTTAACAAAAAAAAATCATTGCAATAAATATAAATAATATGAATTATGCTTTCTGACATTCCTTTTTACTTTAAGCTAACTTATTTTACAATCAAATTTTTCTTTTCACTTTTTGCTGAGATTTCTTATTCAGTTTTACTTTCTCAATAATTAGGTTTTATTTCTTTTTCTACTCATCAAACTTGTCAGTTCCACCAATTTTCCTATTATCCATTTAATTCGACTCTACAATGAGCATATCTTCAACTTCCAGTAATAGATAAGGAACACAGGAATCTCAAGTTGTGGAGAATGGTTCTTTACCATTCTCAAACCAGAATTGTATTTAGACATTTAGAGTCTTTAACCACTGATTTAAAGGATTTCCTTTTTGATTGTTGGATGTCCCACCCCATTCTCATAGATATATAAAAATGTGCTTTTTACTTTCTGTTTTGAAAGTAGTTTAATGAAGTACACAGTTCTCAAGGGAATAAGTAGTACATGAAAAATATTTGAGAATTACTGGCTTTAAATGATATTCCGAATGATCCTTATAATATGCATTAGAAATAATTTAGGCAATCAATCCATTCATAACTTACTTTTTGCATCACTATTTTGTTTGTGCAGTATTGATGGCCAAGGACAGAGACCTACTCATGCTAGCTCTGATAAAGTGAGTTTACTTTAACGATATGCATAGAAGAGTAAGGAAAATTTTTATAAAATTAAAAAAATACAAAGTGTAGTATTTATAAATACTAATGCTGGAGTTCAGCTCTGCAATAAGGGAATATCTAGAAAAAAAGCAGTAGTAGAAGTTTGAGATCTTCATAGAACCTGACCATTAAGGTCTCTGAACTACAACTCATATGTATTCTTCTTTCTATTTCATTACTGCCACCTACTTTTTAAATATCAGTACTAGGTAATAGATTTATAAAGACTTTATCAATATTGAGTTCTAATGAGTCAGCAGACCACATAACTTAGATTTTAAAAATAGTGGCAAGGGAGATTAATTACTTTTAAATGGCTTTCTATGCCACACATATCTTTAGCTTGTATTAGGACTCTGAATAGGCAATGTCCTTTAAAGAGCGTGATTGGGCAAGAAGAGTGATTAACATTTCCACGACAATTATTTTCAATAATCTTAAATCTTTCAAAGATTTTTCATAGAGAAATTTCCCCATTGCATGGAATATCATCCAATACTCTTGCTATTTTTAAGGAAAAAAACTGAATCTTAAAGAAGGTAAAGGAGTTACCACAGCTTTATTTTTTTAAATAGTAAAGTTCTAGGATTACAATCTACGTCTGGTGGTAAGTCCTAGGCTTTTTCTGTTGCATCACAGTATCTCCATAAATGTTGCCTTACAATAAGCAAGGTATTTTATATTTCTTTACTGAATAAGGAAATGGAAGCGTAGGTAAATAAAAAGATTTGTTGAAGCAACAGAAGGAATAAGTATACAAACTACAACATTTTTTCTTTAGTTCATTAATAACTAAAGTGAATCATTTGTGAACAGCATCGATTTATTTCTTGATTTTTTTACACTGTCTGGCAATTTCAACTTTTCAAATGGAATGTAGAGTCCATTTACATTTAAAGTAAGTATTGTTATTTTTGAATTAATTCTATCATGATGCTAAATTTTTTCTTTTGGGATCATCTGCTCTTTATTCTTCACCTGTGTATATAAAGTTATGTATTTTACAAAATTATTCTATTACTTTATTTGTTTATTTATTTATTTAGTTTTTATTGTACTTTAAGTTGTGGCATACATGTGCAGAACATGCAGGCTTGTTACATAGGTATATATGTGCTGCGATGGTTTGCTGCACCCATCAACCCATTATCTACATTAGATATTTCTCCTAATGCTATCCCTCCCCTAACCCCATACCCCACGACAGACCCTGGTGTGTGATGTTCCCCTCCCTGTATCCATGTGTTCTCATTGTTCAACTCCCACTTATGAGTGAGAACATGTGGTGTTTGATTTTCTGCTTTTGTGTTAGTTTGCTGAGAATGATGGTTTCCAGCTTCATTCATGTCCCTGCAAAGGACATGAACTCATCCTTTTTTATGGCTGTGTAGTATTCCATGGTGTATATGTGCCACATTTTCTTTATCCAGTCTATTATTGATGGACATTTGGGTTGGTTCCAAGTCTTTCCTATTGTGAACAGTGCTGCAATAAACATATGTGTGCATATGTCTTTATAGTAGAATGATTTATAATCCTTTGAGTATATACCCAGTAATGGGATTGCTGGGTCAAATGGTATTTCTGATTCTAGATCCTTGAGGAATTGCCACATTTTCTTCCGCAGTGGTTGAACTAATTTACACTCCCACCAACAGTGTAAAAGCATTCCTATTTCTCCACATCCTCTCCAGCATCTGTTGTTTCCTGACTTTTTAGTAATCGCCATTCTAACTGGCGTGAGATGGTATCTCACTGTGGTTTTGATTTGCATTTTTCTAATGACCAGTGATGATGAGCTTTTTTTCATATGTTTGTTGGCCACATAAATGTCTTCTTTTGAGAAGTGTCTGTTCATATCCTTTGCCCACTTTTTGATGGGGTTATTTGTTTTTTGCTTGTAAATTTGTTTATGTTCTTTGTAGATTCTGGGTATTAGCCCTTTTTAGATGGGTAGATTGCAAAAATTTTCTCCTATTCTGTAGGTTGTCTGTGCACTTTGATGATAGTTTCTTTTGCTGTGCAGAAGCTCTTTAGTTTAATTAGATCCCATTTGTCAATTTTGGCTTTTGTTGCCATTGCTTTGGGTGTTTTAGTCATGAAGTCTTTGTCCATTTTGCTTGGCTATAGTTTTTGTATTGCTATTGATTTTTTCAGGGATTTTAATATGCGTTTTTACCTTTTTACAGTCTATATTGAATTAATAATATTACATTTCACAAAAATATAAGAATCTTCGACGATTCTAATCCAACTTAAAAACTCTTCCACTTTTGGCTATTGTTGTCATATATTTTATTTGTAAATAGCCTTTAAACTCCACAGGAAAACTATTTTTCTTTAAACATCCAATTGAATCTTAAAGAACTTATGAAAAAGTATTTTTATACATATCCACAAATCATCATTTCTAAGGCTCTGTATTCTTATCAAATATCCATAACGTAATTATTTTCTCAAACTTGAAAAATGTACCCTAACATTTTTGTCAGCAAAAAATTGAAAATAAATTATCTAAACTTTGGTTTGTATCAACATGCCTTTAGTGTGTCTTCTGCAGTTCCACTAGGTTAACAGCTTGTCTTGCTTTTGTGTACTTTTCTAAATATGTTTTTCCATTGTCTTCTGGCTCCTATTGTTTCAGTTTAGACATTGATTCTGTTTGCATTTTATACTACTGATGTATCATTTGTTTTTCTATGATTGCTTTTAAGAATTTTTCTTTATCCTTGTTTTTGAGCAATTTGACTATCATTTACCTCAGGGTATGTGTGTATATACATATGAGTTTGTGTGTGTGCATGTGTGTGGGGCGTGTATGTGTGTGTGTGTATTCTCTATTTATCCCACTTCTGAGTTGACTCTTCTAATCAATATTTTAAGTCATTGAAGAATATTTTTAAAATTTTTCCAGTCCAAACTTCTCCCTACTCTGTCCTTCTGAGACTGCAGTTACATGTAGATTCAGCCACTTAAAAATGGTCACTGAATCTCTGAATTTAATTAAATTCATTGAATTATTGAATTCATTTTTATTATATTTATTTTACATCTGTGCTTCCATTTGAATTATTCCTATATTTGTTTTTCTTCAAATTTTCTGGTCCTTTCTTTTTTTCATCCAAGTTGCCATTTATTTAAATCATTAGTATATTTCATTTTTCAATTGTAAGCGCTGATTTTAGTTTTTCATTTAACATAGTTTTCAGGTACCTCCTAAAATCACTCATCTTTTTTCCAGCATATCAGTCCTTCCCATTACTTTCTTGAATATTTAGCATAGATGGTTCAAAGGCTTTATCTATTAATTCCAATATGTACTTTATCTGTGGATTTTTTATTATTGACTGGATTTCCTGTTTACCTAATTTATCTTTCCCTGATGCTATACATGTCTAGAAATGCTCTTGTATTTTAGACTTTGTGCATAGTATGTACACTCTGAATTATTTTATTGCTCTTCAAACATGTTGACTCTTTTTTCCTCTCAGGCCCTTACATTACTGGGATTACATTTATATTTCGAAATGTAGATTTCACTAAATTGTTAGGACAGGTTAACTACTGTTTTGTTCTTAGTTCTGGGAAAATTTCTTAGTCCACAAAATTAGTCTTTATTACTGAAGTTGGCCTATCTAGGATAGCAACAGAAAGCTGTAAGAATTTAATGAGCCTCTGGCATGAAAGGAATCAAATTGGAAATTGTGTCCTACTGCATTAGCCATTGGCAAATACCTCTGCTCATGTTTTTCAGTTAGAGAGCTGTGCTTTTGCCCTGAAATCTCCAAAGTCTCATCTCATGCATAGGTGAATTAACAGAGTCAAGGTTTTAAATAGATTGTGGGCAAAGATATTAGGGATACCTTATCACTATGGGAAGCCCCAAAATCTAGCTTCTCTCTAATTCCTCAGTTAAAAAGGATTATAGCTTTCTAAGTGAGTTTAATTTGTTGCTGGAAAAAAACAGTTCCTTCAGAAGAAAAACTGTATAAACATAAATCTCACCTTGTATGGGTAAAAATCTTGCTTTCCAGGGTCAAAATCCCTTCAGTTTTGGTTTGCCTTTGATACCGTTAAAATGCTTTGAAACAATAATAATAACAGAGTGAAGTAATTATGTTATTTCCAACAGTAGCAATGTTTTATTATGTTACATTTACACAGGTATTGCATTTGATTTATACAAGTTTTGTCCAGCGTTTTATCATTTTTATAGGCATGAGGGTTATTCAAATGGGTTATATCACCCATTTTGCCTTTACCAGAAGTTAGAAAAATTTTAAATCTTAATTTATGTTCTTACCTTCTTTTGGTTGAGGATATTTAATCATTTTTATCCTTCAATTTTATCCCATGAAACGGGAGAGAAGCCAAGAACTAAGATCATTCTCAAGCTAATAATATGCCCTTGAAAAAAAAACCGAAGGTTGAGTACAGTTAAACTTCCTTCCCTGAAATCCAGAAACTTACTTTCCCCTTATTGATACTACAATTTTGCTTTGCCAATAGTTTACAAAATGCATTACTGTAAAAACAAACAAACAAATAAAACACAAATTTCATTCAAAAGGAAAAAAAGAAAAGTTTTTGAGAGATTTAAACATTTGAATATCATGGTCTGGACTAAAAAGTCACATAAAAAGGGAGAAATAAGAAAACAGAAGATGAAAGAAAAACACTGGAATGATGGTTGTTTTAAATCTGAGAAACCAAGGTAAAAATTCTGTTTTGTTGGCCTGGGAGGATATTGACCTTTGAGGAGAAAAATTCTTTCTCATAGCTTGGAAGGCTCTTCAACATTACTTCAAGAATATCTCCTTATATGATCACTTCCTGTCACTTTTTAGATTTCCCACTGAAAAGAAATTACCTTCCCAGGCCACTGAATATATCCTAGCCAAGTAGGTCTCGTCTGAATATGATTGGTATTACCCACCTCTCTGATTCCGTCAGTCAAGTGCCTCTTTAGAGAGAAAGAGCTACATTTTGTTTCAAAAATAATCCATGAATGAAATCCTTTCTAATTAATTGATTTTTAGATCAATAAGAGAAAAATTTCCAGGTGCTCTGTATAATCTAATATTTGGTATTTGGCTCATGAGTTTCATAAATTAGTAAATAAATACAAATAAGAAAAAGCTTTGTTATAATCAAAGTAATATAAATAAGTAATAGCTAGCTGAAATGCCATTTTATTTCAAAATAAAGAAATATGGAAGAGACTTATTATGAGGAAATACCATATGATAAATTGTTTAAATTCACTAGTGTTTGGTATATTGACTTTCAGAATAATCAAATTTGTAGTCATAAAATCCAGGCCAGTCTTTAGATAATGATTAAATAGGTACTACATTTTAAAAGATGTTTTCTCTTTTAATGTAAATTGGTAAAGTTTTAAGTTCATTTCTTCTTCAATAACATACATGTGTGTGAAAATAACCAGTAATTCAACCTTGAATACTTTGGTTCCTTGCTTGTAAGCCTTAAGTTTCATTGTCCTTTGACTTCTCCTAGCCTGTCTCAGAAATAAAGCCTTTAGAACTCAAGTTTCGATTACTGGTGTGAGTGGAGTGTCAGTAAGAAAGTGAAAAAAAGGCTGAAAATAATTAAGCTAAAATCATCTATTATTAGTGAATGTGCCAATGTTTTCCAAAGCCTCAGTGATGTGGGTAAACCCAATGAAACATAAAATCTTACTAAGGAGACATGTTAACTTTTCTGAAAAAGTAGCTCCCTGAGTCCTCCCAGCTCCCAACTCAGACATTTATTGGTTTTATTATATCAGACATTATATCATTAATGTTTCAAGAGGTATTTGAAATAATTCTCAAGAAAGACAATTCAAGCTGTTTTCCCTCTCAGGGTGAAGGTAGTAGTAACACTTTATTGTTATGATGAAAATAATTCCCTTTCTACACTTGTTCTTGAATGGTATCAGAGATCACGTGTCCGACTTTATGATTGCTAAAAAGATATGGACAATATATCCCCATACTTACATGTTTAGCTTACATATAAAGCCTGTATATAAAGTCAGTAGCCTATATATAAAGGTAAATGATATAGATGGCAAAGTTGGGCAATGGATACTTTTCTTTGCCTTTCAGAAATTCTCTCCTTAATACAAGCCCCTCTTCCATGAATTCTAGATTCCCAAATAGGTCTTATTATGTGTCCTATGAAACTTATCTTCCTAAGTAATCTAGAAGTGGCAGACTTTGACTTTAGTGGTATATTTGCTTCTCAAAAGTCCTAATCTTGTTTATCATTGCTACAAAACTTGATCTCATGATAGTAAATTTTTTTCTTGAACTTGCCCACACTAAAAATTTGAAGAATGGTGTCACATTCTACCATTTAAAGAACCTATACATTTTGATTATTCCTAGGAATTCAGGGAATGAGACTGTGATGATGGAATTTCAGTTATAATGCTGAATGAATTGGGAAAAATAATTCTTCATTTTGTCTTTTATATCACACGGATATCTGTTTATCCTATTTGCCTTTAAAGCTAACTCTGCTTAAATGTTTTATTATAGCTCTACTATTATATCAACTAATTCGACCGCTTTCTGATCACTTAAAGGAAGAAAAGGAAAGAAAATATTGTAGTTGACTCAAATAATATTCTAAAATTTCTGTAGTCTTTTCCTTACAAAATGTAATTTCCCTTAGATCTCTGTGACAGAGTGTTGCATTCAGGGGTAGGTGTGTGTGTGTGCACATATATACAAGTGCCCAAGTTAATGCTCCCAGTAGGCTAGAATGAAAAGTACTGAATTCTGTAGGTGGTGATGAAGCCAGTACCTTACCACTTTGCCCCTTCTCTTCCTCTTACTCCTTTAACCACGAGCCCATTAGAAGACAAATACTCTGGGCTGCATCTGCAAGAGTAGACCATACTGTCAGCTGTGTTTGCTCTCAGTGCAAAAGCCACCGAATAATATGGGAAAAACAATCAAGAAAGTGTATGTGTAGAAATAATAGGAATTGAATTTATTCCATAGCTAAATAGGACAAATATGTAGATATACACAACACTGTTCACATCTATCAGAATGGCTATTACCACAAGCAGACTAGTAGTTATTGGAATCACAGCCACAGATACATGACCCTCCAACAAAGAGCAAGGTCATAGAACTTTTAGAAAATAAAATCTTGTAGAAATGTAGTAAATATTTTGAAATTAATAAATTCTAATTTCTGTGAATGTATTGACATTTTGTTATTAAAAAATGTAATGCATGTATACATAATATATAACATTTTTTGAGAGCTATGAAATGTCTGACACAAATCTTCGTAGGTGATTCATATGCATGCATTATCCCTTGTAATATTTCTAGAAATATCCTCATTTTTTATACAAGGAAATTGTGACAAAGGTAGGTAAAGTGATTCACTCAAAGGCATAGAACTAGTAAATTATGAAAACAGAATCTGAACTCAGACAGACTGAGTCACAATCCAGTTGTTTACATATTAGTGATATAAGCTTTCCACATAGTACATCAATTTATTCTTGCTCAATATGTCTTAATCAATTTATCAAACATAAAAGCAAATTTTTAGATAGACAATTTTGAACTACAGTTAAATCTGAAAGTAAAAGACTACAAGACTAAATTAAATCTAGCTTATTTTCCCACTCCTTGCCTTTAAAACTTAAATATGTATTTTAAAAACATTTATTGATTGTACAAATAATTACATAAAAACTAGCTCTTCTACTAAGTTATTTAAACAAAAGATAATGCTTTAAATTTTCACTTGTTGTAAGGCAATCTTCTTATGTACAAACTGCTTTGATTTGATGACAGGCAATTTGGGGCTACAGGAAACTCCTTAATATCCAGCAGTTTCTATATGTATTAGACCTTAAGTTGGTGAGGAAATAAAGCGCTGAGAAAAATCCTGCTACCCTCGTTTGAATGCAAATCTTACTAATCTAATTCCAAACTAGTTCCTAGAATATATTCCTTTTTCATTTTGTGTACATGCAGCAACCCTGTTTTTATTTCCTTAACATAAACCTTCTACCAGTTAAATATTTTAAAGTTCTCTTTGGATGGATGTTAGAAAAGTGGGCCTTCCACAAGCACAGTATTGTATAATGAACTTAGATTCAGATGTTCTTAAATGAACTAATGAGGCCAGCAATCCACCTGTAGAGTCTGGGCTGTGAATATTAACTGTGTCACTTCCACGGTGGGGTGGGGAGAGATGGTATTACAGGTAATTGCGGCAAATTATTTTCTCTTTCTAGATTTTCTTCTTCTTTCTAATTTTGGATGGGGGAGACTGGTGTGGATGACGTGATTTCTAAAGTTATATTTAGAATGAAGTTTCTGTAATTTCTATATGATTTAGCCTTATAAAAATTTTTACTTTCTTAACTGTCCTTTAAAGGATAAAGCAGCTGAAATCCAGCAAGCTCAAAAGACTTACTGAGCAGCTTAGATGATCAGCAGCAATACTGAAACCGGAGGAGTTTTCCCTTATCCTGCTTGCAGGGCGTGCAATGGAGGTGTGGCTTGCTTCTTACGTGCTCTGCAGCTCAAACTCCTAGGGGGAACAGGCAGATGGGTAGGTCTTAAGAAGTGTCGGCTCCGACCTCACGTGCAGCGTCTAGGGTTGTGTTTACAGCTTCTGAAGCCCCAGTGAGCGTGTGTTACAGTGTGCTCTTTCAGCTTTCCCATCTGCAGGTAGCTTGTGTTAATAAGCTCAATTAGACCTTCTGCCTTATTGCAAGGACAGAGGGCTTTCTGTATCCCAGGGTTCCTTCCCTAGTGTACCAGAAAAATTGAATCACATGTGGGCTTGGAGAATGAGTTCAAGGTTTTATTGAGTGGTGGAAGCTCTCAGCAGATGGATGGCAGCCAGAAGGTGGTGTTCCCCTGGAATCCTGCTGCTCAGTGGCCGGGCTCTCCTCCCACTGTCCTAGGCCGAATTTCCCTCGGAGTCCGCTTTGTTCCACCATCGATGGCCTGCTGGCATCTGCCAGCGTGTTCCTCTTGATGTCCATCCACTTGTGTCTGTTCCCGCTAGGTTCTCGGAGTTTTTATAGGCACGGGATGAGGGCATGGTGCGTCAGGGTGGTCTTGGAAAATGCAATATTTGGGCCCGAAAACAGAAGTGTCTGTCCTTACTTAGGTCCGTGGGCACAGGCCTGAGGGTGGAGCCCTCACCAGGGACCCCACCCTTCTCTGCCCAGCACTTCCCTACCCCTTTAAGCCAGTATCAATAATGTACTAGCCACCAGCCTCTGGATTCCCACTCCAATACCCTGTTGCAATTTAGCAGCATTATACACAATTTCTTATTTTAGTTTTAGTAGTTTGATAGGAAGAACATTCTTTAAATGAAATTATTAAGACAGTTTCCTTTTGTTTTACATTGCGATGCTAATGTGTTTTTACCATCAAAATTTATAAAATTTTTGACAATTTTATTAGCCAGCTCCAAGTCAGTCATTTGAAAGTTTATTAATCAATCCATTATGTACATTTTACTATATTTTTGGCAGGGTCCCAAGCTCTTTGCAAATATTGTCACATTTAATTCTCATAATAACCCTATGTTGTAGGACATTATTATAGCTCCATTCTACATTGAGGAAAGCTGAGAAACAAAAAGCTTAAATGACTTGTAATTAAATAATTTTGAACTCAAAGTCACAGGGACAGTAGGAGAAGAAGCCTAGATTCAAACCCTAACAGACTGACTCACCTAATCTATGCCAGTCCAATATGGGAGCAAGATTATAGGAAAATTCTAGTTAGAAAATTTCAAGTGCCAAAAATCTCATTTTAAAAATATTTTTTTCTATCTCAAAAGGATTAAGATATTATTTCAAATCTAAAAAGTGATTCTTCTGCACAAGTAACCTCATCCATGGAAAATATGTCATTTATGTCAAAAATAGCATACAGACAGGCACTGAAATTCTGCTGTCAGTAATGTGTTTTGTGTTGATGGTTTCTAACATATTGATATGAGTGTGTTTACTAGATAGACTGAATTCATAAAGTGGAAGAGAGAAAAAAAATAAGATCTTCAATGTTTTCATAGGGTAAGTTCACCTAGAAAGGGAAAGCAAACATCACGGAGAATGGGGTATCCATCTCCTCAAGTATTTATTCCATGCCTATATCAAAGCATTTCATGTACTCCATCAATATATATACCTACTATGTACCCACAAAATAAATAATAAAAAATTAAAAATAAAATAAAATTATAAATGTGAAAGAAGAAAGGGGAAATGAACAAGTTGTAGAAGATAGAGGCTTCACCCTCCTTTTGCCAATTTTTATTTGATATTTTTTTCAAGTCAGGCATTCTGTTGATTTTTCTATACCTATAGGATATGAATTCTAAAATGCTTTAAAATCAGACAGTTTGAACAAAAGTATCCACCAATAGCCTAAAATCAATTATTATCCCCATCTTGCTCATATGGAAAGGATGATGGGCTGCCCCTTCTGGGTATACTTGGCTACCTCAGTCCACTTTGAGGGTTTTCTTATGAAAGACTTTTAGAACACATTCAAACTCCATTCCTACAGAGAAGTCATCATCCAATTCTACATTTGCTGTTCCTTGCTTACTCTGTAAGTTCACTGGTAATTGTCTTTTTTGGCTACAAAATTCACCAAGAAAACCTGAGGAAGAGAAAAATGAAAATGATTTTGGAAATATCAAAATTCTAAGAGTTGGAGGTGGCTTTTATAAGGACAGAAATGGTCAAGTAAAATCTAATTTTGGGGATCTCAGCTGAAGTTTTTGATAGATATACTCTATCACTGAGGGAGCGAGCAATGCACTAATTTGGATCAAGTAATAAGAAATTTAGTGGATATAATGTCCTTGATTGTCTTACTGTTGAATATTTCTGGGAGAGTGAAGCAAAGGTAGCATTTCAAGTGAAGGACCAACCTAGAGTACAGCATCTGTAGGACTTCCCATTCCTACCCCACACCCGCACCCCAAAATCTCCCCCATCTCCACATATAACCATACACTCAAATACCTACACATCTATACAACCATAACCAAATGTTCAATCACACATGCATAACCATACATATATAAACCTACATGCACTAGTAGCAGAGCCATCCAGATTGGAACCTAATAAAAATGAATTGCTGACAATCCATCTTAATAACTGAAGAGCTGGGGAAGGAGATAAACAGATTACAGATACTATTACTAAGCCTTTCATCCAATATGAATTCAGTATGGTTTGAAAAATATGAATAAGCCTACCCTAAAAACTTGTTTTGCACATTTTTCTAAACTTGATATGTGTGTGTGTGTACGCATGAGTGTGTCTGCATGTGTATGTTTCTTTAGCTAATAGTAATATTGTTTAAAGATCAAGTAAATCCATCCCTTTTAATGTAAAATTATAGTGCTGGAGTTAAATATATAAAGGTTTGTCTCTAAGTTTCCCTGCAGAAACTCCTAATCTTGGTGGTCTGAAGAGGAAGTCATGAAGGCAAAGGAAAGCCTTTTGGTAGGACTAGTTTTTCTATAGGTCCATTCTCTGATCTTGACCTGGAAAAAGTTTATGCCAAGGATGAGAAGATGCTGTTTTCCAAGAGATATGAAAAAACAAGTCTGTTAGGAAAATGGAAATACTTTGCTCCCAAATATGTATTTACATTCCTCCTTTGATCAATGATACGCTTTCCAGCTGCTTGGCCCTATGTCTTGATTCTTTAGAAACTGTGAAAGATTAGATTTTTGAAGTTTGATTATAACCAATGAAATAGATTAAACAAACCTAGCTTGTACTTTGTCATCTTTATTATTTTAAACATTGATGCCATAACAAGAAAAAAAACCCAAATCATTCTATTAATATGCATTCCTTCTTTTATTTAGGATTTTAACTAATGAATAGTTAAGATATTTTTAACTGAATCTTATTCCTTTTTATCTTGGCTTATTAGTGCTACAGAACACTTGGTCAGTCTATATATATGTATGTAGTAGTCTACTATTATATACTATATACACATATATAGACTGACGAAATATTTAATGTATACATATACATATTAAACCTCTACATACTTGTTAGAAAGTCACAATTTTTTATCTTCATGTCCTTAACTTAAAGTGGAAATTTCTAAACCATATTTAGTCACTGCACTTCTTCCCCTCACAAGTATGCCATTTAAAAGAGCTGCTATCATTTTGAATATCCTTCCTGTGCTTAAGGCATTTAAGCATTCTATTGAGTATAAAGTATTTTGGTGTGATGCTCATAAGAGATGCATTAAGTCAGCAATAATATGATTCTATTAGTGTAGTTAATACTTTTATTAAAGGGAATAAATCCTGTATTATGGCTTTGGTGTGCTTTGTGTTTTTCCCAAAATGCTATTACATTTTATATGATCTTGTGCAAAAGGTATTAAAATAAAAAATACATGTTCTTAGTATAATAGTGAAGATAATAAATGCTAGGGAGATGTAAATATAGTTTTTAAAATACTTATCTATTTTCCAAATTTTAAATTATCTTGTAAATGATAATTTTTTGAAGAAGCCAAAATACACAAGAGCAATAATTAGACTGATACTATTCAATATCTTAAAATGTAAATAGATCAAAGAGCTGCTTCTTGAAAAGACGCTAAAGCTTGGAGTGTAGAAAAACAGATACAGTGTTTAAATATTTATTGATTATTATTCATGCTTGAAATAGATTGTTAAAAAAAACACAAATTTCAAAAATTTGGAAATAAACAAAATTATAATGGAGTATCCTTTCAGTGTTTTACCAGAGCTTAGTGGGTGGGTCTAACAGTCCCATTCAAAGATTAATTTATCAGTGGTTATGCAGTTTTCCTTAACTTACTTTTTGTTATTGTATAGGATATTTTACAACTCTGTAAAGGTTGATATTAACTTGTAGAAAAGTGATAATGGTGCAAATAGTATTTGTGAAATAGTAAATAAAATGGTTTTGGTCCTGTAGAGATAAAAATAATTTTTTCCCTAAGAAAAGACAATTCCCAAAGTTTACAATTTTATTGTCTTGTGGAACATTACCCAGTATTGGATAGATTTTGACATTATTGTTTCAGTATTCTTTCTTTCAGTGTCTATTAATAACTTTATTTCTCCTAAACTCCTTTGAACCAACATTTCCTTCCAGGTGTTCCATAAATGAATTACTTAAGTAAATCTTTGAAACACAGTCTCCCTCTTATATTTGTAAGAAAGTAATGTTTGTTTATTTTAACCTTTTAGAATCCATATTTTAGCCAGGTACAGTGGCTCACACCTCTAATCCCAGGACTTTGGGAGGCTGAGCAACAGGAGGATTGCTTGAGTCCAGGAGTTCAAGACCAGCCTGGGCAACATAGTGAGACTGCATCTCTATAAAAAATAAACAAAATTAGTAGGGTGTGGTGGTGCATGCCTGTAGTCCCAACTACTTAGGAGGCTGAGTTGGGAGAATCACTTGAGCCCAGGAGGCGGAGGCTGTGGTGAGCCAACATCGTGCCACGGTATTCCAGCCTGGGCGACAGAGCAAGAACCTGTCTCAAATAATAATAAGAAATTGCAAAGGAAAGGAAATAAAAGAGAAATTCATATTTTAACAAGTTTTTCTTCATTTTGTTCTTCCCACTTTAGCGGAGATACATATGAAGCTGAAATTGCATACAATCTGTTGCAGATTTCTATACTACTGCTTCAAGGCTTAATCTTTCTAATTACTTATTATAACTTATTAGGTCTCTTTCTAATTACATTTTCCATTACTATTTACCTTCAATTATCTTGAATATTTTCAGTGTCCTCAAAAATTTTAATTTCTAAACATTTCTCTTAGGTTTACTCCTGTGAATTGGCTTCCATTATCTATCTATTAGAATTAATAAGCTAAATTGGGTTTATAATAACATCTGTTCATCTTTCTCATTCATTATATCTTTATTTTTAGCCATACTTACAAGGTTTTTAAACTCCCAGCTTATATAGGGGTTCCCTCATGGGTTTTTATTGTATTTTGTGAAAGTTTTACTTTATGCATTTTTTTTCAAAAATTGATAGTATTTTCTAAACAACACGGTATAACAGCTATTTACATAGCATTTACATTGTATTAGGTATTATACATAATCTAGCAATGATTTAAAATATGATGGAAAATGTGCATAGATTATGTGCAGGTACTGTGCCATTTTATATAACGGATTTGAGCTTCCCTGGATTTTAGTATCCACAGGGGCCCTGGAACCAATCCACTACAGATACTGAGGATGACTGTATTACCTTCTATTGTCACATACAAAGAAAAATGATTTAAATTGGCAGTTGGAGGCTAATTACAAATGTTTTGAAGAATACTGTGTGGTCCATAGTGTGACAGGAGGGAAGTCTGGCAACCAGCTGCCATGGACTCCATGGGGTGCATCTTCTATACACCAAGGTCAGATCCTCATTCTTTTATGTCAGAAACCAATTCACCCAGGGACAATAAGATGCTCAATGATAGATTCACACTAGGCTGATGGATAATGCTTATTTATAGTCATTCCAGTTCACGTATTTACAGAGCAGGATATGTGCTTTAAATGGGAAGAATGTCATAGTGCTTCCTAGAGCACTTCCTACCTCCAAATTAAGATAGCCATGACATCTATTAGCAATCAGAAATTTAGCTGATATGAGAGGAGTGACAACGAAGACAAATGGATAACTGCATTGATTTTAACTCAGACCGTGGAGAAGCCTGAAGAAATCTCTCTGCCATATACCTGTGGAAACATTTTGGTGACCAATGTGGCCCTATCTCCTATATTCAACATTAAGCCCTATTCACTGTTGCCATCTACTTTTGTCCTGCTGAACTCCTTCATTATCTGCATACATACTTTAGATGGATTGATGGAGGTAAAACTGCTCCTGTATATAAGCTGTTCCTTTACCACTGTCTATATGTTCATTTAATTAGTTTAACTTATAGAAGATAATATTTTTCCATTATGGTACTTCACGATCTGCTATGTCCTGCTTACAACAGGGATAATGGCAAAATAAGGAAACATGCATATGAAAGTGAATTATTGAAGATGACTTTGAATAATTGTATTCAACAGGTACAGGGCAGGGTCTTTAAGTCTGCATTTTTAGTAAGCACCATGCATACTTGTGTTTACTCTGTGGTACCTCAAAGGTTCTGCTGGCTTCCAACTCTTCAGTTCTGAAGTACTGCTCTCATTTACTGAATTATCTAATTATCACTATAATTAAGGTAAGTTGGGGCCGGGCATGGTGGCTCATGGCTGTAATCCCAGCACTTAGGGAGGCCGAGGCAGGTAGACCACGAGGTCCGGAGATCAAGACCATCCTGGCTAACACGGTGAAACCCTGCCTCTACTAAAAATACAAAAAAATAGTCAGGCGTGGTGGCGGGCGCCTGTAATCCCAGCTACTCGGGAGGCTGAGGCAGGAGAATGGCGTGAACTCGGGAGGCGGACCTTGCACTGAGCCGAGATAGCGCCACTGCACTCCAACCTGGGCGACAGAGTGAGACTCCGTCTCAGAAAGAAAAAAGGGGGGCGGGGGGCGGGGAGTTATTCCATTTACTCAAAAACTGTCAGGACCAGATTACGGATTGCTTCAAGTTAGGAGTTACCAATCTCAGGTCAAGAATGGCCAAGTTTTTAGACCACATTTTTCCATAAGGGAAAACTTGCAGTCCAACAAGCAAGCTGGGTTTTGCTTTTATGTAGTTACTACTCATAATGGACAGGAACCGTAAATAATGTGGTTATGTTTACAATGTAGGACTTAATGTTCAGATGTTCAAGCCATGTGGAAGGTCACAGTTTCAGTAATAGAAGTCAAAATCAGAGTTGTTTAGTCAAATTTAGTGAGGGAAACAGATTACATGAGAGCTAGAAAGGGCAGTAGTTTCCACTCAGTACTAAAGCTGGCAGATTACTCTTGATCCTACAGCAAGGACTGCCTATCTTATTATTTAAGCAGTCATAGTAAGTGATTAGATAAGAACTATTAGGTTGGTGCACAAGTAATGGCAAAACTGCAATTACTTGTTCACCAATCTACTATCTTGCTTTATTCCTTTCATTAGAGCAGAGATTTCTGGGTGGAGAGGATTGTCCTGTAAGTCCACTTTATCTGGCAAATCTTCAGAGTTAAAGCAGATCATTTGGCATTCTCCTCAAATTTCTAGCTTCTACATTATCACATTCTTACGAGGCACAAGCAAGAATGCACCATCTGATCAGTAACAATAATAATATCTCCTCTTTGAGTGAAAGAACAGACATTTGAGTGAAATATCAAACTCTAAAAGGTGGGAGGGTGAGAGGAATATGAGGGTTAAAAAACTAGCTATTGTGTACAATGTTTGTTATTCAGGTAAAAGCCCAGATTTCACCACTATGTGTGTATCCATGCAACAAAACTGCGCTTGTAACCCCTAACTCTATTTTTAAAACTATCTTGTGAGCTCTTTTCTTATATGGGTCAGATTGTAAATCTTCAAAGTTTGTCTCTTCTCTGAACTTGTGACACTTATTTTTATGAAAAAAATAATATTTGGAAATTGTCAGCCCTTTGATCTTAGATCATATTTTAAAAACTATTTATAATAGAATTAAAAACTATTTATCATGGGTGTATGAGAAAACATTTGATCAGGAGATTGATATCTATCAAAAACTGCATGAGCCACATGAGTCCTAAGTTTTCTTTGAGTCTAGTATCTTAAGATTTTAAGATTTAGGGCTTGTTTTCTTTATAATCTCGTCCTTGTTAGGAAACTATATTTGCCACTTTTATGCACACCTTACCAAATGTAGGACCAAATAAGATGTTTGGTCTTTTCCTCTGTTTTCCATGTCTATTATTGACCAGACAACTTAATCAGGAGAAACAAAATACCTTTGTTTCCAGCTGAGCTATTTTCTTTTTGATTACTTTGGTCCCGCGAACTAAAACAAATCTTCCCTGCTTCCTATCAATTGTTTTGCTTTCTTTGTATTTGCTTCATTACATTCTTGAATTGATTTCTTTTGTCTGTTGGGTACATTCGGCTCTGATCTTTTATTCCTCACAAATATTTAAGTATGTGACAACTATAAAAGGAAAAAGATAATTTATACCTATTTTCTATGTTTCAGAGTTTACCACCAATGGTTTTCCAGTAGCATCAAACAGTCAAATAATTCACTTTGACTTCTAGGTTAGTATTGATAGTATTCAGAAAAACGGTGGTTCTTCTGAAGGTCTCTTGTTTCAACTGAACAGTGAACCATGACTTAGTTTTCACTGCTCATTTGACGTTTTGTTGACCACAAGGAAAGGGTGAATGTATTCATTTGTTTAAGCTGAAATTCGAACTCTAACGAAGACAATATATGTTCAGATTCTGAGTCAAACCTGTAACTCATTCTAGCCCAGTGTTTCATCTTTAACATAAAAGTATTCTACAGTGAAGACTTAAATTTTCCTTATGATTTCATCAGAAATGGTCAGGAATTAACCCAAATATCAACGTTTGAGGAGATTTTTGGTAAGTACTAAATATCAATTCACTGTACTAATACAGCAACTGGTTTTCTATTAGAGAACTCAGTATTATTTAAAATTAAGATTATGAGCTCTGGTGCCAAGTCACATGAGTCTAAATATGTCCTCTGCCTCTTACTGGTTTTGGATTTTGAGTAGCTTGCTTAAATTATCTCAGTGTATTGATTTCTAAAGAAAATTCTATCTGATGAATTGATGACAGTCATCTTTTGAGAGTGACCCAAAATGAAAAGAATACTCATTGCTGATCACTTGATTATTTCAGCATAATTCATGTTCTAAATGGAATACATGGTGTGAAGTAGAAGTGACATTTTGATGTGGGATTTGTAAACATGTACCATGCCAAAAAAAAAAAAAAAAACCCTACCTCACAAGATTAAGTGATATAATGCATAATGCATATAAAGTATTTAGAACAGTAGAATAGTTTCTAACACATGCTAAGTACACAACAAAAGTTAGGTATTAAGTTGTGTACTGAAAAACATGCTAAACATGTGTGATGGTTAACATTGACTGTTGGTTTGATTGGATTGAAGGATGCAAAGTATTGTTCCTGGGTTTGTCTGTGAAGGTGTTGCCAAAGGAGATTAACATTTGAGTCAGTAGACTGGGAAAGGCAGACCCACTTTCAATCTGGGTGGGCACAATCTAATCATTGCCACTGTGGCCAGAATAAAAGCAGGCAGAAAACATGGAAAGACCAGACTGGCTTAGTCTTCCAGCCTACATCTTTCTCCCACGCTGGATGCTTCCTGACCCTGAACATCGGACTCCAAATTCTTCAACTTTGAGATTCTTGGATCTTCAGCCACAAACTGAAGGCTGTCAGTTTGTCAGCTTCCCTACTTTTAGGATTTTGGGACTCAGACTGTCTTCCTTGCTCCTCAGCTTTCAGATGGCCTATTGTGGAACCTCACCTTGTGATTGTGTGAGTCAATAATCCTTAATAAACTCCCTTTTATATATACATCTATCCTATTAGTTCTGTCGCTCTAGAGAACCTTGACTAATACTGCGCATAAGAAATTAAATGTTCCTTCAAACATGAGTCTACTGTCCAGAATTAAGAGTCTACAGAGGGAAGATAAGCTTGTTTGAACCATTACATGTAGCATCAACGTGGTCGGCAGTCTTAGCTTATTATTATTACCCCTGCCCTATCTTACTCAGAAAGTTGGGAAGGCAAAGCAGCTTAAAATTCCCAGTCAGCCAGTATTCCTCCCTTAGTCATACCTGTCAAGTCTTTAATATTGATCCCCTTCTCTACGAACAGTCCTTCACCACCCTCTCTCCCTCTAATATTCTAAACCAGAAAGACTAAGTTTTGTTCTTACTCTACTGCCATGCTCAGAAAATCAAAACGTGTTCAATTAGTTAGCTGTTCTATTTCTTCCGCAAGTTTGACATATAACAGCCTCAGTTTAGCAAATTACAACAAGAAAACAATTGATGTGGAAGAAAGAAATAAAGTGCTGTATGACTTCAGAGGTGGAATAATTTATTTCTGTTTGGAGATGTTGTGGGAGGTTTCATGGAGTACATTACATGTGTATAGTAAAAGACTAACTCAGCAAGCCTGGATTCTTTGAAATCTTCACATTCCAAAGAAAGGTCTGATGCTTAACTGGACCTAGAAGAAAAACCCTTAGAATATCTTCCCTTTGTTTTTCTGGGGACTTGGGCCAAGCCAGATTATTAGCCAGGTTTATGGTAACAATGTGATGTATGGTGAAGACATTGGACCATACAGTATCATATCAGTTTGGAATCTGGAAAGGCTGAAGATTATGTAAATAAGTCAGCCATGTGGGCACAACATGTCTGCATGCACCCTCTCTCCCACCTGCAATAAAACACTGGACACCAAGACTTGGATAAGTTTCCCAGTTTGGCAGTACTGCATGTATGTTATCACACATAATTGCTGAGAGAATTCAGTGTGATTCATATTACTCCCCTGGGAAGGAACAGCTAGAAACAAATAGCAAGTCTCTCCTGGACTCTATCCATTATACCCTTTTCCCTTGCTGATTTTATGCTATACCCATTCATTGTCATAAACCATAAATATGAGTGTAACAGCTTTTCTGAGTTCTGTGAGTTTTTCTAGTGGACCTCTAAACCTGAGGGTGTTCTTGGGGAACACTAAGAACAACACTTCATTTGCACTTTCAGTTAGATTTTGAAAAATGAATACGCTTTTGGAAATGTGGAAATGAGTGGGCAGAGGATGGAAATAGACAATAATAGGAATACAGGTTGCTTGAGATAGAAGAAACTAGAAGAATGTTGTGAAAAAAGAGGAACACTACACCATATAGTGGGATCAATGAACAGTTCGGCCAAACGTTGCATTAAATATTCTTTAAAAACAAGTCTATTACCTCAAGAAGCTTAGACAGTGGTGAAAAGATAAGGTTCAACTAAATGAATAAATCAAGAATAATATGAGGCAAAGGATAAACAACAAATGGTCTGGGCTAAATGAGTTGGGAGGAGGGACTGTTGTGTGAAACGATATAATCTGAAAGAACTCTACGAAAGTCTCCGGTGGCCTAGATATATGCAGATGGGCTACAGCCAATAGTCCTGAGAACAGTGTTCCCAACACCTATTTTAATGTGTAATAAAAATGAATTATATCATTACTAATTCAAGTGAATAAAATGCACAAAAATGTCTTTAGTGACTGTTTTCTCTGATATCACTATTTGAATTTAAAATGTTAATTTGTAAAATAAATCAATTTTCATTATTAATGAACTCTGCATTTGCAAATTTGTCTACTTACTAAAATTTATTGGCAACCCAAAAGTCAATACTTACTCACAGTACTTTTATGGTTATTTGCAGACATGTGCAGAGCAGTGAAAAATGTGTGTCACCCAATGCACACAGTCCCACATGAGGTTGAACGTGGTGATGCTTTGCCTTCTGGTTCTGCTTTCATACTGTAAACAATGTAATTTTCATAGTCTATTTAATACCATATTCTTTGCATTTTAATTCTCTTTTTTTTGGTGATTTTGCTGTTTAAGATGACCCCCAACTGTAGTGCTAAGGTGCTGCCTGGTATTCCTAAGTGAAAGAGGGCTGTAATATTGGTTTTGGAGAAAATGTGGTATTGAATAAACTTCATTTAATCATGAGTGATAGTGCTGTTGGCCTTTTTCAAGCAGAGTAAACAGGCAACCAACAGAGTGGGAGAAAATATTCACAATCTATACATCTGACAAAGGATTAATATCCAGAATCTAAAACAAACTCAAACAAATTAGCAAGAAAAAAACAAACAATTCCATCAAAAAGTGGGCAAAGGACATGGATAGACAATTCTTAAAAGAAGATATACAAATGGCCAACAAACATTAAAAAATGCTCAACATCACCAATTATCAGAGAAATGCAAATGAAAACCAGAATGTGATACCACCTTACTCTTGCAAGAATGGCAATAATAAAAAAAATCAATAAATAATAGATGCCGGCATGGATGCAAGGAACAGGGAACACTTCTACACTGCTGGTGGGAATGTAAACTTGTACAACCACTATGGAAAATCATGTGGAGATCCCATAAAAAACTAAAAGTAGAACCACCATTTGATCCAGCAATCCCACTACTATGTATAAACCCAGAGGAAAAGAAGTCATTATACAAAAAAAATACTTTCACACTCATATTACAGCTGCACAATTCACAAATGCAAAAATGTGGAACCAACCCAAACGTCTATCAATCAATGACTGGATACAGAAGCTGTAATATATATATATGTATATATATATATATATGAATACTACTCAGCCATAAAAAGGAATGAATTAATGGCATTCCGCAGCAAACTGGATGAGATTGAAGACTATTATTCTAAGTGAATGGAAAACCATACATTGTATATTCCCACTCATAAGTGGGAGCTAAGCTATGAGGATACAAAGGCGTAAGTATGACACAATAGATTTTGGGGACTCAGGGGGAAGGGATAGGAAGGGGGTGAGGGATAAAAGACCACAGATTGGATGCAGCGTATACTGCTCGTGTGATGGGTGCACCAAAATCTCACAAATCACCACTAAAGAACTTACTCATGTAACCAAACACCACCTGTTCCCCAATAACCTATGGAAATTAAAAAAAATAATAAAGACAATCGGAGTACTATAAAAAATATTAAATTAATTATCTTTAAACAGAAACCACATAATACATAATATGCACTTGTCAGTTGACAAAAATGTTATTTCTAGAGCCTCCCAGGTATCTAACTCTGTATTTACATGGAAGCAATGGTTCAGTATTTGCTAATTGTGTTTGTGGTGACTTCGTATAGCATAATTACTGTGAATAACAAGAAATGACTATAGTTAAAATATTGTCTTAGCAAAAGATTTTAAAGTAAACACAGGGGCTATATTGCATATTAATTCATGTCATCTCTTTTGTTTATACTATATATAAATATAGGGATATAAAAAAGGTCTTTTACAAATAAGTAAACATTTTTGCATTACAATTTACTGAAATATTCTTCACTTAAAGAAAGTTTAGTTGCAACTTGAAAGCAACAAGGAAATGAGAAAAAATTATCTGTCCATGAAGAAATTATCTACAGAGATTAGTTGTGGCAAATTAAATGAGAAGAGTAAGTCACACAGTAATTCTGAACTGGAAGTTGACTGTTAAGCTAGAACTTTCTACCATGAATGGGAAGTCACAGTACTTTGTAAGTACTATAGAAATATTCGTAGGTACTGTGTTTGTAAGTACGATAGAAATAGGAACTTCCTTACTTATGGTCTTTTTTTCTTTCTTCATTTAATTGAACTTATTCCGTGTCTATGGAATTACATATTTCACTTTATTCAAAGTTGATCATTAATAATAAACTTCAAAACCTAAGCAGCCATGACGGTAACCTAGAATAGACAGGGACTGCTGTCTTACCCTACAGCTATAGAGACTGGCCAACTGAAAAACATTTACACAGACTTAAGGAAGCAATATAGCAGGGTGCTTAAGAGGACAAACTCTGAAGTCAGATTTTCTCCACTAAATCTTGACAGTTACTGGCTATATGGCCATAAGAAAGCTGTTAATACTTTCTATGTCTTGGTTTCCTTTGTCAATTGACCTATTAGTAATATTTATTTTGTGCAATTGTAAAAATTAAATTATATGTAAAGCACTCAAAGTAGTGCCTTATTTATGGTAAATATTCAGTATATTATCAATTATTATTATATACTCAGCTTCAGCAGACTATTTCTCAATGGCATGCAAGATCAAGAGATTTCTTTAAATAATCAGGAATTTAAGTTTGTAGATACAATTTTCAATATTTGAAAACATTGTGTAGCCAATTATAATATGTGGATCAATTGGTCAACAAGCTAGTAGTTAGCAACTAAGGAAGCGATTCTTTCCATATCAGTAACATTAGGACTCTACTTAATTGTCTAGAAGTTTACTTGGAGGATGAATGTATGAAGAAGTAGATGTTTAATTATAACATTTTATTTTATTTATTTAATAGAAATAATAAAATAAGTAGTAATTACTAGGAAGTTCATTATCTGAAAGCCCCCAATTTTTCTTTCCTGTGAACCAAGTCTGAAGACATTTTAGTTTATCTAAATCGTATGAGAGAATAATAGTAGCAACAACTCTGTAATATCCTTCTCCTTAAGGACACCACTCATATTAATTACCACTTTAAATAAGTTAACATGCCTTATTCTTTCTGGATAAAAGAGAATATTAGCAGATAGAAAACCAAAGAATATCTAGTTATACTTTTTATTACTTTGACAAATTTTATTCATTAGATCAATAAAACAAACTTTTAAAGGTAACTTTTTAAAAGATAAATTTAAAATTTAATCTGAAATCCAAATCAAATGTTGTACAAATTAAAATATTGTTTTACAATCATTTTAAATTGTCATAAAACAAGAAAGAGGATTACAATTAATTCACTCTAATTTTTCTAAAGCATCATTTATGTATGAGGAATATTACATCAACTCTTTAGTAAAAAGAAATCTCTGTATCCATATATCCAAGATTAACATTCTGGTATCCCCTCTGAAACTTCTATATGTCTAACATTTCTGCTTATCTAGGCACCAAGACCCTTGCCAAGCTACAAATTAAACTATTCTTTTTCAGATGTATGTGTTAGACGAGGGGTCATACACAAAAGAAGCAAATACTTTTTTACCTTTTATTTTAGAAATTATGACTATTTAACTGGAGTAGAATTTCTAAAATGTTCTATTTACCAGGATTGCAATTTCTAAAATGTTCATGTAATAAACAATATTTAAAAAATAATTAATCTTCAGAATTTCCCAAGAGAATGGAGAAAGTATAAAGAAGGGTAAAAGGGGAATATGAAGCAAAACCTATTAAAGGCCCATTCATATTCCCTAATAAAGAGGGAAGGCAATGTCAATTTGGGAAAATATTTTGTCACACACAGGGAGAGACAGAGAGAAAGGGAGAAAGAATTATTATGGCCAATAGCCAGTGCGAGAAATAAACTTTAGGCACTCGAAAATTTCATCAAGCCGTAAGAATAAAAAGTGTTACTGTTTTAATTTCCAAATTACAGAAACTGAGAGTGGCCTCCCATGTTGAAGAAAGTATACGCCTAGACAAATGGTAATCTTATGAGTCTTTCTTTCATAATTGTGTGGTAATTCATATTTCATATAAAAGATCTCATTTATGTTAAAAGATATTTTTAAAGTGACTATTTCTTTTTGTTCTTAGTAAAAATAATGCTAGTTACAGAAACATAAGCTAGAGTTTAAAAGTTCTTTTTTCCTGGAGAATCAAGCAGATGACCAATTCCTTACAAGAGATTAGTAACTGTAACAGGTTTGCTTATGCAAACCTCCTGATGTGGTTTGGCTGTGTCCCCACCGAAATATCATCTTGAATTCTCATGTGCTGTGGGAGGGACCCAGTGGGAGGTAATTGAATCACGGAGGCAGGTCTTTCCCATGCTGTTCTCATGAAGGTGAGCGAGTATCATGAGATCTGATGGTTTTGTAAGGGGCAGTTTCCCTGCACAAGCTCTTTCTTTGCCTGCTGCCATCCATGTAATACATGACTTGCTCCTCCTTGCCTTCTGCCATGATTGTGAGGCCTCCCCACCCACATAGAACTGTAAGTCTATTAAACCCTTTTTCCTGTATAAATCACCCAGTTTCCAGTATGTCTTTATCAATTCTTTATCAAGAATTGGCCTAAGACCAGTCATCTCCAACCTGATAAATCCTCCAGTTCCAGAGGTTGGAACAAAGCTATTCCCAGGGACATAAAGAGATAAGAAAAAAAAAATCTTAACTTTTTTTTGAAAAGATGACCAAAGGCAAAGTTTACCCAAGTATACCATTCAGATAAGGATTTCTCAATTCATCTGTCCTTTAGGTTTTCTCAAATATGGACTCATCTTTCTTCTGACTTTTTCTTAAAGACTGAAGGCATAAAGTGATTAGAATGGACAGGAAGGCTTGTAAGAAGGCATTTTTTTCACTGAGAACAGTTTTTAAATAAGATTAAAGTATTCATAAAGGTTTCTGTTTCCTTCAAAGCAAAATATAGTTTGAAGTAGAAAAGAAAAAAAGAAATGAGTTTGAGTTCAGACTTAATGATAGACTACCTCACTGTCATATTTAAACAGATGTCTAAGAAAGACCTCAGCACTAAGGAAGTGACCCCCAAGCATGAGGATTAAGTAACCTCAGAGGACTATGCTTTTCTCAGTTGAGGACTTCAGCCATAGCAGCAAGGGTGTTTGTATTGGATGTCAATGACATCTCCAGGTTTCTCAACAAGCAAAATCTCAAAAGCCAGATCAACTGATCAACAAACCAAACAACAGCAACAACAATGTTGAATAAGCAAAGTTAAATTCATTAATCCTACTGCAGTACAAGAAAATCACCTTGATTTCTTTTTGTAGTAGTGTTATACAGAAGTGAAACACCAAAGAAAATCATTTGTAAGATACCGGAACCTAGGCTTTGTGATTTTAAACAAAGTTTTGCAAGACAGAGAATTGGTTGAAATTTTAGTTTATAACATAAAAGCTTTAGATTACTTGCCACAGTAAGCAAGGGCCTTGAAGCAATTCTTGACAAGCAACAAATTCGTCCTATGAAATAAGCTCTTTTAGTTGGTTCACAGTCTTATCTTTTAGAAGCAAGCATTTTCTCAATCAAGTAGCTAAGTTGACTTTGCTTATTCTCAATATTAGTTAACCTATTAATAGGAAAGTATTTCCAGTCCCAATATTGTCCAACATAGAGACAGGAAATTATGTTGGCTTCAGTTTTAAAATCATACAGTTAGTGAGGGTAAACTTTGATTTTAGTCTCAGAATTTTTTCCCAAAAAATGCTTAAAAGATTAAACATTTTTTCCAAAGACTAAAGTATTACATTAATTTTCTGAATTCTAGAACAGTTTTTACATTTGTTTCTGCATTATTCAGTAATTCTTATGGTAAATTATGTACTCAAAACTCACTCTATTGAACCATCCACTGAGTGTGGACAAATAATGTGGATATAAAAAAAGAATACATGTGCAATGTAAATATTTGATCAAGAAATAAACACTCATCATTTACTGAAAAAAAATTCTAAAATATGATGAATACGCAAGTGACAAGAAGGAATAAGAATCACTTGCCCCACTAGATATTTCAATGGCTATTAGATGTTGTATCAAGGTTGTTTTATTTTTCAGTCTGAGAAGTCTAAGTAGAACTGAATTAGGTAAATAAACATCCACTCTCCAAAACACTCTTTTTGCAAGTGTTAGCCTATTTTTCTGTGATTTTCTGCCAAGCTATTCATGCTTTTATATGCAATGCTCACAGCAAAGCATTCTTGTATACATTCCTTTTTATAAAAAAGCTTTTACCTGCCACTTGGAAAACACTTGAAGCTTATGTACAGAATAGTGATCGATAGTCTTATTGCACCTGAAAGTTTGTAACTCACTTCAGAGTTTTCTGCTGATGTTGTAGATAACAGGAACATCTCTTGAGTACTTTATAACTTGTTTTAAAATCCTGAGATTAAATTTAGAGCATGAATATTTACTTTACATAAATGTATTTGCTTCCCTAAATATGAGGATTAAAATGCTGTATGGATATATGAAAGTTATAATCTAAGTATTTAAATAATTGTACTAAAAGAAAGGAGAGAAGTTTCTAATGTAAATTTTGGATATCATATTTCAGTGACTTGAAAAGAGAGGAATTAACATTTTTTTTCCTCGGGATGGCAGATTGGAAGCACTGTAAGCATGCTTCTCCCACTTGGCGAGACAAAATAATGTGTAGGGACTCATGCTGTGAACTCGTTTTTCAAGAAGCAACACAGGAACAACGGGAAAACTGAAAGAAACCACAGTCCTTTTGAAGGAAGCAGCAGGCTGCAGCTTACACTGTGAGCCAAGTGGAATACTGCAAGTCCCCAGAGCATAAGAGGAAGAGAAACTGCCTCTGGGATATGCACTCCCAATGGGGAACTTGGCAATCCAGGCCACCGGGAACAACATCGGACCGTGCTTTGCTCTCCCAGACTCCAGCAAGAATGGAAGGTAGCCTGCCATTCCGGATCCTACCTCACAGGGGACCTCGCGGAAGGCAGCCGACTAACTCAGGAGGCGGCCACAGGTTGAGAGAAGCTCACAACTGAGATGCGTGATATAATCTCAAGCAGGGACAAACTCACTTAGCCAGAACCGAGCGATGAGTGGGAAGTATGTTGTAGCCACAGGCACAGGAGCTGGATGCCCTGCTTTGTGAGGGGACCACAAAGGCCATGTCCTCAAAGCCACAGTTTCTATCTCAGTGGGAAAAGAATATGGCCTGGGTCAGTATTAAGTTCTGGGCACAGACTGCCTTGAAACCTAGCTAGCTGTTGCTAGTGGAACACTGTATGTGTGAGACGTGCCTTGCCAAGTGCTTGGGAGCTGGATGGAGCTTACTGCCACCTGCTACTCTCCACTCCCCATATGGACTCTTCTATGCATCGGGGCAGCTGCACTACTTCCTGTGGCTAGAAGACTGCCCTTTGATTCCCACTGGGGCTGCTGTTTGTACCAGCACATGGGCATTCAGAGCATGAACTTGCCTGACTCAGCCCCGTGCTGGCTTTGCCCCTTCACTAGTCCTGGTAGCTTACTTAACACAAAGGGCAGAAACCTTGGGGAGCTCTATGGCCCTGTCCATTGCCTGAGACAGCAGAGTACCTCCATGAGGTAGCATAAGGCAACACAAATCCTCCTGCTACCACCACAGTTGGCATTCTTTTGCAAGGGCCATTTCTTGCCTGGAGCCCAGCTGACAGAGTCCATTGCTGCATCCACAGGCACAATAACAAAATGCCAAGGAAGGAGAAAATTTGTGTGTGACCTCAGCTATCATCACTGCCTGCATCACGCTGGCTAATCAGGAGGTCCAGAGTCTGTCCACATGACCAGTTCTTAACTACTAAAATTGGCATTTGATAAAGTCCACACACTAAGGCTATTTATATCCAAAGAATCTCACAGAGTCTATGTCACTCCCTTGCCAACCCCATCAGAGCTGGTGCTGGTACCTGCCACTGGGAGACTTGAGTACAGGTCACATACATCCTCGAGAGTCAACAAAGTAAATGTGTTGTGTGTGTGTGTGTGGGGGGGGTAAATAAAAAATATATATAATGTACATGAATATATGTGTATTATATATAATGTACACATATATATGCATTACATATTCAATATATATTCATATATGTATTCATATATACATATATATAGGAATACTAATCAACAGTAAGAAAGAACAAAATAATCTCTTTTTAAAATCTTTTGCAGCAACTTGGATGTAGCTGGAGGCCATTATTTTAAATGAAGTTACTCAGGAATGGAAACCCAAATACTGTATGTTCTCATGTTCTCACTTATACAAGTGGGAGCTAACCTGGGTACACAAAGACGTACAGAGTAATATAATGGACACCGGAGACTGAGAAGGGGGAGAGTGGGAGGGAGATGAGGGGTAAGAAACTACGCATTGGGTACAATGTACACTACTCAGGTGACCAGTGCAGTAAAATCTCAGACTTCACTGCTATACAATTCATTCATGTAACCAGTAATCACTTATACCCCTAAAGCTATTGAAATACAAGAAATAAATGAGTAATTACAAAGACAATTATATTTTAAATTCTTTAAAATATATTTGTCAATCATTTTGCAGTTTCAAATGATGGAAATGTAATTACGAAGAGAATTGTTTTGCTCTCATCTCTGGAAAGAATGGTGATGTCATTAGAACTGACGGACTAGTCAATACATAGATTTGATGCTGTGAGGACTCAACACTCCACCCTCAGCTTTGCAATTATCTTTGTATTCACTTCACTTTAATGCTCTGCAAGCAGTGAGCAGCTTCATCTACATAGTGGGAAATACAATTATCGAGAGCTCTTGAGCTTCATACTTCTCAGTTTCTACTACCATTAACTCTCTTTATTCCCAATTAGAAAAAATATGGTTCAGGTTGATAGGGTTTAATCTTCCCATGACCAGAGTTAGAGCCACATAATACACTTGCAGCTCTCATTGGGAAATACAGATGTAAGTGGGAGGAGGGCAATATGGGGAGAAGAGACAAATGTTGACTCAAAAATATCAGAGATGTTGTTTTTTAAAATCTCCTCTGAAAAACATAAAAACGCTGTATCAGTTACATAGTGTTGGTTACAATAACAGAAAAGTTGACTCAAACTGTTAAGCAATGTAGATATAGATAGATAGAAATACAAAATACATGAAAAGCCTAGAGGTGTATTTGACATGATTCAACATCTCAATAATGTCCCCAATAGCTCAGTTACTTTATGTCTCTTTGCCTTGACTCTGCATTATGAACTTTAGCAAAGGGGGCTGTGCTTATGACTGTAAGATGATTACAATGAGCTCCTGGACATGGGTATTTTTGTACCAGTATTCCCTCCCGAAGTCCTAATACTCACACTTATTGAAATATCTTAGACTCATGTCTATCCTGTAGCCACACTTGGCCAGGGCAGTGGAATATTCTGATTGTTTATGGCCTCCTCTACTTTTGGAGCTGGGAATGGACACAAATGGATAAGTAACATAACTTGAGGGCTTTTGAGAAGCAGAAAGTGCAGAAATGCTTGCTAGAATGTAACCTAGATTACCTACCATACATCCATCTCTGTGTCATTATTTTTAAGTTATTTTATAGGGATGTTACTTAAATGGAAGTTAATAAAATTTAAATAAAGAAAACATTGTCAGAGCTTATATATGTAATTTACTCCTCCTTCCAGGGAAGCCAAACAGTAATAAAATCCTGGTTGTTGATCACCAGCTTGGTATTTTAATGAAAACTTTTACGGTTGAGTTAGAAATCACAGTTTAGATTTAAGACTAAATTATTCCTATTCCCTCTTTCCCATTCTATATGTTTGTAGGAATAATTGGGTATACCTATGGAGAAAGAATGAGAGAAATAAGACTAGATCCCTAGAGAGAATATAACTCAACTTATCCAGTTCACTAAAGGGATCAGCACAGCCAGTCTGCCTTAAATGCTGGCAGCAAGTAAAAGAGGAGCCAGAAAGAGACAGAATGTGCTTTGAAAGAGTGCTGACTTACAGCATAGTGACTTGTTCATACATGTCGATTTGCTCTTCTACCTTAGGGAATACTTCAAGAGAGAATGAAAGAGAATGGCAAAATCTCTTTTCCCTTACTCCCCTGAATGAAATAAGGCAGAAAATTTAGGGGTTCAACTTTTCAATGAAGAGAAAATAATTGTGTACCTACTTTTTTAAGTAACACATTTCATAACAGGTAAGAAATCAGCATATATACATATATATATATATACACACACACATATGTATATATATGTGTGTATATATATAAACATACACAAGTATATATGTGTGCATTTTCAGATATAATTGTATATATATTAAAATTATATATATGTGTATTTGTATATTTTATTCTCTGTAAGTTGTGTGTGTCTACATGTATCTTAAAATTATATCTATTCAGTGACAAGGGAAATGGATGAGAGGTAGAAAGATCAATGGTTGAGCTCACGGAAGTGGGCCCTTCGCTGGAGTCAGAGTAGGAAGAAGGGAAATAGGCAGAAACAGATTTTTCAACCAGTTTATTTATTGTATTGATTATGTGATGATGAGAATGTGAACATTTTTATAAGCATAGTTATTCCTAAGGCTTGGGAGTTTATTGATCCACTTGAGAGTGAAAACTTTAGCTAACAGACTATTAGCTACTCTACTTGTTTTTGTGTTTGTTTTGTTTTGTTTTGTTGTTTGTCTTTCTTAGAGGTAATCCACCAATACGAGCCATTTATATGTACAATGGAATTATGGTGCTTGGTAAAGAAATAAACAGAAAAAAATATTGACGCAAGTCCTGAAATTCAACTCCTTTTCACCCCTTCTGTTCATGTTTAGATTCTATTTATTTATACATTATTTTTTAAATGGCATTTCTTATTGACAAGGGCACAGTAGAACAAAGAATTTAGCCTCTTTTAGGCTACTAAGCAGTCACTGTGTTAGGAATGACCCATGAGAGTTCATGAAAGCAGATTTTTTTAATAAAAAAGCGAAATTTCCTGATCTTATTATGTATTACACTATTTCATATTAAAGATCTCTAACAGAAATGAGGATGCGAGGACCCTCTGTCAAAAGCCTTCAGGGCACTGTGTGGCCCTCCTAGGTTTTGCCACTTGCCTAGTTTAAGTGTTAGAGCCAAAAAATTGCAAAGACATGACTCACAAGACTGTCTGTCGATTAAGCATAAAGGGGCCAGGCTATAGGGGATTTGAGCTGCATTAAAGCCAAACTTAAAATGGAAGAGAAGGTCTGTGGCAGAAGTGACAATAATTATGTGAAGACAGTTATCAAACAGCATTGCTATTTCTCCATTTTTCCCATCACCTCACCATACTCCTTTCTGGATTCCAAGTGAGACTCCTCTGACTAAGAACAGTATTTCTCTTGCCCTTACTATATAGCCAGGCAGTACCTCACTGGCCTATCCAATCAGTCACTAGCTTTGTTCTTAGTGGTAAAACTCATGAGATCTGTCATAAACCCTGTCTTCATTATCCAGGTGCTCCTTTCTTAGGGAACTGACTGATGTTTAAGATTTGACTTGTTTCAAATAGTTCAATGTAGAGTCCACCACATCTAAAGCTAGCTGATATCAACCCAAAGATAAAAGTGCAATTTACATTGTAGGAAAAGGAACATTAGTTGTTCCAATGCTATTCTTTTCTTTAATAAGTGAAAAGGAAAATATGATTTTAGGAGTTTGATTTCTATCAAGATTCTACATCACATCATTTAGTTAAACAAATTCAAGGACCCCCCTGTCTAACTATTTTTATCACTTTATTCATTTATTTCACTGGCAACTGTTTTAGTAAATTACTATGTAGTAATGATCCTAATTTTTACATATATTTTGAGATTACAAATCTCATTTCTTGACCATCACTGTAAATCTGGGTCCCTTTATATTAAGAAGAGTGTGTCAATTCAGCACCATAAAGTTATGTTTATTATTAAATATTAATAGTCTTGTTGGAGTCTAATCTTGAAATAGAATTGGAAATGAACTCGGGCAGGAAATTTAGTATCTACTCCCTCCTCTCTGATCACTCTCAAATTTATTAATGGAGGATGGCATTGAATGGCCATTTGTTTGCATAATGACACTGTGTTCCTTGTATTTCCATTGACACTGTTAGAATGTGTGTGTGAAACGAAAATATTTTTAAATTTAGGGTTCATTTGTAGAACTTGGTAAATCTAGCTAACTAGATAGATTGGCAGTGTGTTTGGAAGTCTGTTACACTGATGGCTCCCAGTGATCACATCTCTTGACATTCACAACCTAATAATTCACCTTCCCTTGTATCTAGGCTGGGCCTGTGATTTGTTTGAACTATTAGGATATGGGGAGAGCAATACTGTCCCAATTCTCTGCCTAAGACAAAAGACAACATGGAAGCTTCCACCTTTGCACTATGGGGAGCCCTACACTACCATGAAAGAAATCTGGATATTCTACTGGAGATACAATTTGGAGAGAGACTCCATGGGGAACGGAGGCCCTAAGACCATCATGGAGGCAAGAAGATGTCAGCCATTCAAGACATCCAGTGCATCTCACCCTCTAAATTGATCGATCAGCTGAAACGCGGCCTCATGAAAAACTGCTGGCACAGAGAGCTGAAGACATCAAATGCAAATGAATGGTTGTCATTTGAAAGACATAGTGTTTCTGGGAGTGGGGAGAGTGGTTATTTAGAACAGATAGGAATGGTGAAAACTGAGTATCTCCCACCCCTATCCCCATCCCCAGCCTTAGCCATGCAGTATATAGATTTAGATTTGGGGGTTTGGCCTGGGCAACCAGAGTCTGGGGTTTATCTAGTACTTGGAGTATGAAATGATGAGACAAGTTAATTAGACAAAACAATATCAGGATTCTCACTGAATAAAGTGTGGTTGTTACTTACAGAACTATATGTCCTAATATGATCCCCTCCTGTAGCACATTTCATGAAGTACTTGCTACTCTCATGAAGTAGTTGCTACTTTGCCTTGAGAAGGAAAAAATATGGGTGCACAGGATATTCTTAGTTCTTAAAATCTTTGTGAGAGTCAGTGTTCCCTGCACTGCCACAACTGTCAGACACTCTGCTCTGAGTTCATCTTGAAAGGGACATTGACTTTTGAGTTTCCTTAAAATTCTGCTTCCAGTTGTCTCAATTTTAAATTGCTGTACCTCATGTATATGCGGGGAGGTTATTATATGTGTGTGTCTGTGTGTGCACATGCAAGCACAGTAAATTCGTCCACAATACTTTGTAGATGCTAAAATGACTTTACAATATGGTCTTTGACTGTATTTTTGTCTAACCATTCAGGCAAATTTTACTATTTTCATTCAAAATGAGTAGATTTTGCTAAGAATATTAAGAGTTTTTCTGGAGCAGCTGTGTTTTTAAAAATATCTATACATATGTCAAATACAAATACTGATTCTCATATTAAGTGTAAAACTAACTTTTTATAAAAATAATACATAACACTAATGCTGCACATGTAATGAAAACTTGTTATGTTGAAAATATCATAAAAATACTTTATTACATTGTCAAATTAAAAGTATGATAATTTTTTCAATGTGTAGTATATGACAATCACCTGGAATAATTTTTGAAAATATATAACATTAACCCATATGTCTAGATTCTAATGACTAGTATGTACTACTATAGAATTTCATTTAAACATATGTTTCAAAGCAATTTACTGGAAACTTAGTAAATGAATCAGTAAGAATAATGAAAATACGATATGAACAAATTATATTTTCTATCTTATCAGAATTCTTGTGACACTTAGGTAAGAAATCTGATTGCTATAAAATGCTAAATTTCTACTCGTGATTATGTTTGCACCTCCTGCAATTGTGACTTCAGTAATGTGTTTTCACTGTATCATAAAATTTGAACTGGTTGTGGTTTTCAATTGCTGTCTTCTGTTTTACAAAATTACAAATAATTATTCGGTAATATTTATTAACTATGTTTACCTTGTATGGATAGCTGTTTATTCCTATAGCGTGTACAGATATATATTTTCAGCAACAGTATTTTTAAACTGTAATCATTAGTAACTATATTAACCCTTCATTAACATGGATATACATAAAATTGTTTTAAAATTCTTAAGGAATAAAACTTCACTAGTAATTTGCTACCTGTGAATTTGTTGTAACATAATGTCAAAGCAATCATACTTTAAGTATGTGGGTATTTTTTAAATTCACAGGTAGTTATTTAGTAATCTGAGGTCATATATTAATTTCATACTAATGTTTTATTATTTATTAAATATTTATATTGATACAAAATGTTACTGTTAGTATTTATGTTATTGTGTTTATGGTATAGTGTTGATGTAATTAGTATTTATGTTATTATGAATTGGTTTTATTATGGGATGTTGAGGATGGTTGAAGTAGCCAATGTTCTAGTAGGTAACATCACCCTCAAGCAGCTAGAATAGAATTAACTAACATCTTATTTAGGGACACCACAGAATATAATGCTACAAGTTCCACCAATACTGGAAGCACTTACGACAAATTGGGATGTGGACAAGAGTAATTTTCAGGATCCATAGACGACAACTGTATGGGAATGGCCTCCTGTCATGAGCAGAAACTTGATAGAGAAATAGCAAATCAGCAGGGAAGGAATTTTGAAAATAAATATTCCACCCTCACTCTCTGACTAATGTCCATCTCCTGAAAGTGACTCTCTTTATTTTAATTAAGGTCATGAGGCAAGAGAGTACACTGATATAGTTCAGTTTGTCTGTCGGGGTACAGAGGATTATAAAGAAGGGTGCAGAGTGAATCTGGAAAGCAAAAGAAAATATCCAGTATATATTGGTAACAAAGATTTTGGAGAACCACTGTTTTAATAAATCAGTATTTCATATAATAATTCAAATATGTCATTGATGTTTTCATATATTATATTGTATGTACTTTGCAAAGTTGACTTCGTTGTAATATTTAAGCATTCATGTTTCTACAAGTTGAATATTGGTTCCATAGCATCTTGGATACTTTCTAACTGAAGCGCTATACTAAATCTTACCACTACTTTTTAGGAGTTTCTCTCATTTTTCCAGGTCAGTTTATATTGATTTTATGTCTCAAAGGAATTAAAACCTCTATATACTTCAGAGTTAAGTGGAAATTTGCCAAGAGATATTATTATTCCTTTTTTGAATCACAGATTAAGGAATGACATTTAAAAAAATTACACCTGCCTCAATTTGCAGTAGGCACTCATTCGTGATACTATAGAAGGATGGATGTGATATAACTAGTAAATCACTAAATAATGAATCTGTTTGTACACTCTGGCAATTTGCTTTATAAGAACAAAAATAAGTCAACTTTCTACACATATTTATAATATAATATTTCATAGTTTACATTTTGTGTTCTTTATTTGAGCATAAGTAGTGGTCCTAATAATACTGACAGCTGAACTTAAAAGTATGCAAAAACCAAGTTTATCAATAGTTTTAGAAGAGAAGAAAATGAGTAAATAGGAACTTCAAGTTTTAAGTAGGTAGATTAAAAATGTGTAGAAATAATGGGAGTCTCAGCTTCAACCAGTAGCATCAGGTAAAATTATAAAGAGTTTATAAACCATCTTATACTCAAATTCATACTGGACCTGGAGGAAAAAAAACCATATATATAAAAACATATATATCAATAAATATATATATAAACATATATATATACACAAATTATATGTGAACATATATATGAATATATATATTCATATATATATGAACAAAACATATATATATATGTTCATATATATACTTTAAGTTCTGGGATACATGTGCAGAATGTGCAGGTTTGTTACGTAGGTATGCACGTGCCATGGTGGTTGATGGGTGCACCCATCAACCCTACATTAGGTATTTCTCCTAATGCTATTTCTCCCCTAGTCCACCACCCCCAGACAGGCCCCAGTGTGTGATGTTCCCCTTCCTGTGTCCATGTGTTCTCATTGTTCAGCTCCCACTTATGAGAACATGTGATGTTTGGTTGTCTGTTCCTGTGTTAGTTTTCTGAGAGTGATGGTTTCCAGCTTCATCCATGTCCCAGCAAAGAACATGAACTTATCCTTTTTTATGGCTGCATAGTATTCCATTATGTATATGTGCCACACTTTCTTTATCCAGTCTATCACTGATGGACATTTAGGTTAGTTCCAAGGCTTTGTTATTGTGAATAGTGCTGCAATAAACATACGTGTGCATATGTCTTTAGAGTAGAATGATTTATAATTCTATGGGTATATATCCAGTAATGAGATTGCTGGGTCAAATGGTATTTCTGTTTCTAGATCCTTGAGGAATCACCACACTGTCTTCCACAATGGTTGAACTAATTTACATTCCCACCAACAGTGTAAAAGCTTTCTTATTTCTCCAGAATCTACAAGGAACTTAAATTTACAAGAAAAAACAAACAACCCCATCAAAAAGTGGGTGAAGGATATGAACAGACACTTCTCAAAATAAGACATTTATGTGGCCAAAAAACATATGAAAAAAAGCTCATTATCACTGGTCATTAGAGAAATGCAAATCAAAACCGCAATGAGATACATCTCACGCCAGTTAGAATGGGGATCACTAAAAAGTCAGGAAACAACAGATGCTGGAGAGGATGTGAAGAAATAGGAATGCTTTTACACTGTTGGTGTGAGTGTAAAAAAACCTTAAATCTTAAATTTTATTTCTTTATATAGCAAAGTGATTTCATCTCATAATGTAGGTATATTGACCTTTATTTTTCTACCCTTAAAATAAAGAAGTTTGCCATAATAATTCTTTCCTGCTTTAAAATATTTTATTTAAAAGTTAAAAAAATTCACATTATTATTCTAAATGAGCATCACGTTTCTCTGTTAAAAAACTATAAACTAAACATACGTATTTTTTTAAAATTCCCAAATACCATGAGTCTTCTTCAAAAAAAATATGGTAAAAAATATAAATTCAAATAGATTTTATCCAATATGGAATCTAGTTTACAAGGCTGGTGAAGGGAAAGTTGTGCCTTCTTTCCTTTCAGCCCTGTTTTCTATTACTTGGGTTATTTATGGTCCGTTCCTTTACTGTTTACTTAAAGACTACTGCCTATTGACTGCTACATTATTCTAAGTTCAACCATGGTGACTCTATGTTTTCTCCTTGAAACCCATGGTCTTCTCCAACCAGCACATTCATATCACCCAATCACTTGTTAGAGATGCAAATTCTTAGACTTCAACCAATCCTAGAACAATTGAATCAGAAATTCTGAAATCAGAATGCTGTTTTGTATCCCCCTAGGAATGACCTTTCTCCCTTGTCTATTTATCAAAATTTTACCCATTCTTTATGATTTGTTTTGGGCATGATGCATCATAACACAAAGGTGGCTTCTTCCTCTGGAGGAGAATTTTTAGGCTGTAGGGAGAGGGGAATTTGGCCCAACCTGGGTACATGTCCCCTTCTCCCTCTCTGATTTAAAGCAGATCAGCGTAGGCCTGGGGAAGCTTTCAGATGATCCTGATAGGTACATAGATGTCCTACAGGGTCTAGGGCAAACCTTCAGTCTCACTTGGAGAGATGTCATGCTATTGTTAGATCAAACCCTGGCCTTTAATGAAAAGAATGCGGCTTTAGCTGCAGCCTGGGAGTTTGGAGATACCTGGAATCTTAGTCAAGTAAATGATAGAATGACAGCTGAAGAAAGGGACAAATTCCCTACCGGTCAGCAAGCCATCCCCAATATGGATCCCCACTGGGACCTCAACTCAGATCATGGGGACTGGAGTCACAAACATCTGTTGACTTATGCTCTAGAAGTACTAAGGAGAATTAGGAAAAAGCCCATGAATTATTCAATGATGTCCATCATAACTCAGGGAAAGGAAGAAAATCCTTCTGCCTTCCTTGAGTGACTACGGGAGGCCTTAAGAAAATATACGCCCCTGTCACCCAACTCCCTCAAGGGTCAATTGATCCTAAAAGATAAGTTTATTAAACAATCAGCTGCAGATATTATGAGAAAGCTCCAAAAGCGAGCCCTGGGCCCTGAGCAAAATCTGGAGGCATTATTAAACCTGGCAACCTCAGTGTTCTATAATAGGGACCAAGATGAACAGGCTGAAAAGGAAAGGCAAGATCAGAGAAAGGCTGTAGCCTTAGACATGGCTCTCAGACAAACAAACCTTCGTGGTTCAGAGAGGACAGAAAATGGAGCAGGTCAATCACCTGGTAGGCTTGTTACCAGTGTGGTTTGCAAGGACACCTTAAAAAGGATTGTCCAACAAGAAACAAGCTGCCCCCTCACCCATTACCGCTATGCAGAGGCAATCACTGGAAGGTGCACTGCCCCAGAGGACAAAGGTTCTCTGGGCCAGAAGCCCCCAACCAGATGACTCAACAACAGGACTGAGGGTGCCCAGGGCAAGCACCAACTCATGTCATCACCCTCACTGAGCCCCAAGTATATTTAACCATTGAGGGCCATGAAATTGACTTCCTCCTGGACACTGGCACAGTTTTCTCAGTGTTAATCTCCTGTCCTGACAGCTGTCCTCAAGGTCCGTTACCATCTGAGGAATCCTGGGATGGCCTGTAACCAGGTATTTCTCCCACCTTCTCAGTTGTAATTGGGAGAATTTGCTCTTTTCACATGCCTTTCTTGTTATGTCTGAAAGCCCCATAGCCTCATTAGGGAGGGATGTATTATCCAAAGCTGGAGCCATTATCTACATGAATATGGGGGAAAAGTTACCCATTTGTAGTCCCCTGCTTGAGGAGGGAATCAACCCTGAAGTCTGGGCATTGGAAGGACAATTCAGAAGGGTAAAAAATGCCTGCCCAGTCCAAATCAGGCTAGAAGACCCCATCAGTGTAATTACACCTTACAACTTCAAGCCCCAACTGATCATAGTAACTTCCAAGTCACCCAAACAGCTCCATTCAGATGGCTTGTCTGCTTCTAAGGAACTCCAAAAATCATCAACTCCTCCCTGCTTAACAAATAGTCCAGGTTTTGTAATGGCAAACATACTCCCTGCAAGACCATTCACCCCTGGACCCCCTGCAGCAGCACCCCCATCACTAGTGAATGCCTTCTCATCCCCTCTTTCAATCACTCCCTCAAATGGTTCCTAGTAGATACAAAATGTTTTTTTCTCCAATGGGAAAATAGAATACAGGGAGCCACTCAGTTTGCTCCCAACACCTCTTTCCAGCCACTCACTAGAGCTACCTTGGCAAGTACTCTAGGAGTATGGGAAAATGGAAACAACATAGCTTTTTAACAACATAGCTTTTCTGTCTACCCAGCCAAGGCATATTCTTCTTATGTGGAACGTCAACTTATATCTGCCTCCCCACTAACTGGACAGGCACCTGCACCTTAGTCTTCCTAAGTCCCAACATTAACATTGTTCCAGGAAATCAGACCCTATCAGTGCCCCTCAAAGCTCAAGTCCGTCAGCATAGAGCCATACAACTAATACCCCTACTTATAGGGTTAGGAATGGCCACTGCTACAGGAACCAGAATAGCAGGTTTATCTACTTCATTATCCTACTACCAGACACTCTCAAAGGATTTCTCAGACAGTTTTCAAGAAATAACAAAATATATCCTTACTCTACAATCCCAAATAGACTCTTTGGCAGTAGTGACTCTCCAAAACCGCCAAGGCCTAGACCTCCACACCGCTGAGAAAGGAGGACTCTCAGGAAAAGGCTTCTGAAATCAAACAAAGCCTTTCAAACTCTTATATGAACCTCTGGAGTTGGGCAAGATGGCTTCTCCCCTTTCTAGGTTCCATGGAAGCCATCTTGCTGTTACTCACCTTCAGGCCCTGTATTTTTAACCTCCTTGTCAAATTTGTTTCCTCTAGGATCGAGGCCATCAAGCTACAGAAGGTCTTACAAATGGAATCCCAAATGAGCTCAACTAACAACTTTTACCCAGGACACCTGGACCGACCCACTGGCCCTTTGGCCTAAAGAGTTCCCCTCTGGAGAACACTATAACTGCAGGGCCCCTTCTTGACCCCTTTCCAGCAGGAAGTAGCTACAGCAGTCATCGTCCAATTCCCAAGAGCAGTGGGGGTGTCCTGTTTAGAGGGGGGATTGAGCAGTGAAGCCAGCTGGACTTCCTGGGTCGAGTGAGGACTTGGAGAACTTTTCTGTCTAGCTAGAGGATTGTAAATGTATCAATGAGCATTCTGTAAAAACGCACCAATCAGTGCTCTGTGTCTAGCTAAAGGGTTGTAAACACACCAATCAGCATTCTGTAAAAATGCACCAATCAGTGCTCTGTGTCTAGCTAAAGGATTGTAAATGCACCAATCAGAACTCTGTAAAATGGACCAATCAGCGCTCTGCAAAATGGACCAATCAGCAGGACATAGGCGGAAACAAGTAAGGGAATAAACTGGCCAACCCAGCCAGCAGTGGCAACCTGCTCGGGTCCCCTTCCATGCTGTGGAAGCTTGGTTCTTTCATTCTTCACAATAAATTTGCTGCTGCTCACTTTTTGGGTCCGCACCATCTTTAAGAGTTGTAACACTCACCACAAAGGTCCATGGCTTCATTCTTGAAGTCAGCGAGACCACAAACCCACCAGAAGGAAGAAACTCGACACATCTGAAGGAAAAAACTCTGGACACACCATTTTTAAGAGCTGTAACACTCACCATGAAGGTTCATGGCTTCATTCTTAAAGTCAGTGAGACCAAGAACCCACTGGAAGGAACCAACTCTGGAGACATAATCACAATATTATCATGATGCTACCATGATTTTTCATGGGATATAATGATGTTCTCTAACAAGCACTTAAAAATTGTGTACATTATTCTATGTTCCTTAGTATCATTACCTTTGTATCTCTACAAGATGCTCTGATCAGTCCTCTGATTTGGATTATCTGCATGTTCCCTTGCCCCCTCTTCTTGACACTTTTCATTAATAGATTTTCCTACTCCAAAACTTTTTTTTCCATTCATAGGTTTCCCTACTCAAAAAATTTCTCTTGTTTTTCTCCTCAATATTATTCTGTCTGTATGTCTCTCTTTCTTTGTCTTACTGTTATACATAAAGACAGTCCAGAGCAGATCAAAACATAGTCATTTTTGCCAAGTAGGATCTTCTCAAAAGGATGTGTATGGAAAGCTTATTGAATTCAATAGCAAAATAACATCTAGATTTAATTGCTTTGAGTTTTGAATAATAATATGTGTTTAACTTTGTATCTCAATAATATTAAAATACAAATTGAGTTTTTTGGGGTTTATCATGAAGAAGTAGGCTTCTATATGGTTGAGAAACCAAAAAGAATTTCTCTGTGCAGTCACAGAACTGAAAGATGACTAATATATCAGTGCCTTATTTTTCTAGTGTGTCTGTCACAGTTATTTTATTTTCCTTAAGCTCATTCTATTGATGGGACATGAGTATAATCCTTACGACATTGAGTAATGAAGACTAAATTTTCAGTTTTCTTTCAGAGGTTTCAGCATTTTCTCTACAATATAAACTCAGAGAAAGGTATCAAGGTGGAGAAGGGAAGAAAAGAGAGACAGAGAAAGGTGGTTTGTTGAGTTCATACACACACACACACACACACACACACACACACACACACACACATATTTATTTTGTCCAAATGAGAATAAAATATATTAAATTATCATTCCATCAGCATCTTCTGCCAACATTTCACTATACCAAACATTTCATAAGTCATAGACATACTTTGGTCATAGGTTACAAGTCTAAAATATACCTATGAACAAGCACAACACACAGAGAGATTTATAGCTAAACTTTAATATCCTTAAAATCAGACAAGTGCAAGCTTGCATAGAGGAGGCCCTAGGTATCAATTTACATAAAGTCTCATGCAAAGCAATTTATCTTCAGGGAAGACAAGATACATTAGCTTAATCAAACAATAATGAGTCCATGTAATAGAGAAACAATTATTTAAAATATAATATGAACTATATTAATTGTTTCACTACTAAGGACCTTGTACACAGAGCCCACAGAGGAGGAGATTATAACTTTGGGATGGCTCATATCACTCAAATCTCTAAGACATGTGGAATATATGGTAGTATTATTTTATGGTAGTGGCAAAGTAGGGTGTGAAAAGGCTTTTTCTCATTTTAGGGAGGATGACATCTGGAGTCCACTGATGAGAAAAGACAACACCCATGAAAGAAAAGGATAGTTTTAACAGCAAGAGGTCAGTTTAGCCTAGTTTTAGTTCAGCTGCCATGCCACCTGGGTACCCATAAAAGAAACACTGGGAACAGGAGAAATCACAGCCATATGGAAATCAGACTCCTACATCAGAAGCAAGTATATAGAAGAAGTGGTAGATTAGGTGTGACAGATTAGGTGTGACAGATAATGCCCTCACTGCCATAGGAAACTGAGGGGGCCATGAACAGTTTCTGAGATAATAAAGAGAATGTCAGTTGGCTCAGTGGTCCTTAGCTAGTCATAGCCATTCACAGAATTTTACTCTTAAGGGGAACATAGAAATTGAGCAGTAGCAGTTCTGGGATTTAAGGTGAAAAAAAGTTGTTTTTTTTTTTTGGAAGATGAAAAATATTCCAAAAAGTTGTTATGCTAATAGGAATAATTAGTAAAGAGAGGAAATATGACTGTGAAGGAAAGAGGCCAGAAGGTGTAATCTAGTACGCATGCAGAGATTAGCTTTGGGATTTTGGACTTGGTGCCCTGTATCCCAGCCCCTCCACCTCCAGCTGTGGCTGAAAGGGGCCAAGTTCTAGCTCAGGTCACTTCTTCAGAGGGTGTAACACCCAAGCCTTGGTGGTTCCTATGTGGTGTTGGGCCTGCAGGTGCACAGACGACAACAGAGCTTTGGAAACCTCTGCCTAGATTTCAGAGGATGTACGGAAACTCCTGGATGTTCAGGCAGAAGTTTGCTGCAGGGGTGGAGCCCTCATGGAGAACTTCTGCTAGGGCAGTGAAGAAAGGAAATACGTGGTCGAAGCCCCCACACAGAGTTCACACTGGGACACTGTCTAATGGAGCTGTCAGAAAAGGGCCACCATCCTCCAGATCCCAGAATAGTAGATACACCAACAGCTTACACCGTATGCCTGGAAGAGCTGCAGACACTCAATGCCAGCCATGAAAGCAGCTGGGGAATGTGGGGATGTACCCTGCAAAGCTACATGGGCACAGCTGCCCAAGGCCATGGGAGCCCACCTTTTGTATCAGCATGCCCTGGATGTGAGACATGGAGTCAAAGGAGATTACATTGGAGTTTTAAGAATTAATGACTGTCCCATGGGATTTCAGACTTACATGGGGCCTGTAACCCCTTTGTTTTGGCCAATTTCTCCCATTTAGAATGGCAGCATTTATCCAATGCTTGTTCCCCCATTGTATCTTGGAAGTAACTAACTTGCTTTTGATTTTACAGGCTCCTAGGCAGAAGAGACTTCCCTTGTCTCAGATGAGACTTTGAACTTGGACTTCTGAGTTAATGCTGCAATGAGTTAAGACTTTGGGGAAACAGAAATACAGACCAATGGAACAGAATAGAGACCTGAGAAATAAGACAGCACATCTACAACCATCTGATCTTTGACAAACCAGATGAAAACAAGCAGTGGCGAAAGGATTCCCTATTTAAAAAATGGTGCTAGGAAAACAGGCTAGCCATATGCAGAAAACCAAAACTGGACCCCTTCCTTACACCTTATACAAAAATTATCTCAAGATAGATTAAAGACTTAAATGTAAAACCCCAAACCATAAAAATCCTAGAAGAAAACTTGGGCAATACCATTCAGGACATAGGCATGGACAAAGACTTCATGATGAAAACACCAAAAGCAATTGCAACAAAAGCCAAAATTGACAAATAGTATCCAATTAAACAAAAAAGCCTCCACACAGCCAAAGAAACTAGCATCAGAGTGAATAGACAACCTACAGAATAGGAGAAAATTTTTGCAGTCTACCCATCTGACAGGTGCAATATCCAGAATCTACAAGGAACTTAAATAAATGTACAAGAAAAAAAAACAATCCCATCAAACAGTGGACAAAAAAATATAAATAGACACTTCTCAAAAGAAGACACTGATGCAGCCAAACAAACGTATGAAGAAAAGCTCGGCATCATTGATCATTAGATAAATGAAAAGCAAAACAACAACATACCATCTCATGCCAGTCCCAAGAGTGATTATTAAAAAGTCAAGAAACAATACATGCTGTCAAGGCTGTGGAGAAATAGGATCACTTTTACACTGTTGGTGGGAATGTAAATTAGTTCAACCATTGTAGAAAACAGTACGGTGATTCCTCAAGGATCTAGAACCAGAAATATCATTTGACCCAGCAATCCCATTATGTGGTGTATACCCAAAGGAATATATATCATTCTACTATAAACACACACATACAAAAATGTTTATTGCAGCACTATTTGCAATAGAAAAGATATTGAATCAACCAAAATGTCCATCAATGATAAACTGGATAAAAAAAAGTGGTACATATACACCATGGAATACTATGCAGCCATAAGAAATAATAAGATCATGTCATTTGCAGGGACATGGATGAAGCTGGAATGCACCATCCTCAGCAAACTAACACAGGAACAAATAACCGAACATCTCATGTTCTCACTCATAAGTGGGAGTCGAATAATCAGAACTCACAGACACAGGGAGGGGAAAAACACACCGGGGTCTCTCAGTGGGTGGGGGACAAGGGGAGGGAGAGCATTAGAAAAAATACCTAATGCATGTGGGGCGTAAAACTTACATGATGGGTTAACAGGTGCAGCAAACCACTATGGCACATGTATACCTATGTAACAAACCTGCACATTCTGCACATGTATCCTGGAACTTAAAGTAGAATAAATAAAATTTTAAAAAAAGTAAAAGAAAAAGATTTTGGGGGACTGTTGGAAAGGCATGATTGGTTTTGAAATCTAAAAAGGATGTGAGATTTGGGAGGGGCCAGAGGCAGAATGATATAGTTTGGCTCTGAATTCTCATCTCAAATTGTCATCCCCATAATATCCATGTGTCAAGGGAGGTGACTGGATCATGAGGGCTGTTTTCCCCATGCTATTCTCATGATAGTGAGTGAGTATTCATGAGATCTGATGACTTCATAAGTGTTTGACAGTTCCTCTCCCACACATTGTCTCTCTCCTGCGGCCTTGTGAAGAAGGTGCCTGCTTTCCCTTCTGCCATGACTGTAAGTTTCCTGAGGTCTCCCCAGCCATGCCAAACTGTGAGTCAGTTAAACCTCTTTTCTTTATAAATTACCCAGTCTTGGGTAGTATGTTTATACAGTGTGAAAATGGACTAATACATAGTGATTGAAAGTTTCTCTTCTAATTTTACTTGGGTCTTCAATTATAATAAAATGCCCAAAGTTCTGTGCACCATTGATTTTAGGTATTTAGAACCCCTTACTGTACAATTTTGCAACAACTGATATAAAACTCTTAACTAAGGGAAGAGTTTCTCAAAGAATATAAGAGGCCCATCACACTTCAACATTTCTGTACAAATTCAGCAAGCATTTGTTGAGAATTTATGCTTAGGTTTACTTATAAGCCATATATATACAGTCATGTCACTTAACAATGTGGATGCATTCTGAGAAATGAGTCTTTTGATGATGTCATCATTATGGAAACCTAATAGTGTACTTACACAAACCTAGATGGTATAGCCTACCAAACACCTAGGTCCTATAGTATAGCCGATTGCTCCTAGGCTGCAAACCTGTATAGCACATTAGTATACTGAATACTGTAGGTAATTGTAACACAATAGTATTAGTGTATGCAAACATAGATTTTAATTAATTTTCATTCTTATTTGGAACTTAGCCTTCTAGGCAAAGGTGATTCTATATTCCACCCAACTAAGTCTCATTTTGTAACTGTTGAACTATACCATAAGGTGCTAAGGTGCTATAATATAACCCCAGGAAGTACCATATACAGGTATGCCATTTTTAGAATCTTTATACTGTATACAGTTGTGCCATTTATGGGATCTTTTATACTGTAAAAGTATAGTATCTTTTTACAGTGTGCTTACTGTAAAAGTGAGTATAAAAGATTCTAAAAATGGCACACCTATATACAGTACTTCCATGAATGAAGCTTGCAGAACTGGAAGTTGCTCTGGGTGAGTCAGTGAGTGAGTGGTGAGTAAATGTAAAGGTCCAGAGAATTACTGTACACTACTGTAGACTTTACAAACATTATACACTTAGGGTACACTAAATTTGTTTTCTAAAATAAAGTAATTGAGCTGCAGCCTAACAGCAGCTACATCATCACTAGGTGATAGTAATTTTTCAGGTCCATTATAACCTTATGAGACCACAGTCATACAAGCAGTTCTTCATTGACTGAAACATTGTCAAGAAGCATGCTACTGTAGTTCTTTCTGTTGACACCAGCCCATGTCACCTTGCAATGCAAGAAAGTGCATCCTTATTTCTATTCACAGCATTATTTGGAAAAGGAATGCAATACTTAATAGGAGGGGGTTCATTTTAGACTTATTTAAACATTCAGACTCATGAGATTTGGGTAAGGCCACACTTAGTAGCAAGTTCATTTAGAATAATACATGATGAAAAAATCAGAACACAACAGCAGGGCAACAGCAGGAATTTCTCCTTAGTGGAAATACTCAGAGCAGCCCGTAGAGCAGTCCTGGGGTTATATTATGGCACCTTATGTTATAGTTCAATAGTTAGTAAATGAGACTCAGTTGGGTGTGATGTAGAGTCACCTTGGCCTAGAAGCCCATGTTCCAAATAAGAACCAAAATTTATTACAACAATCCCACAGACATAGATACTGAGGGATCATTATTGGGAATATTCTCTATTCCAATGTCACTAAGGATATTCTAACATATAGCTCTCAACTAGGTATTTTATTTTTTTACAGTGCTCCCAATCCAGATAAACTTTCCCAATCAGAGTTCATTTTAAAATAATCAATATTGCCTTGTAACAAAGATGACACTTCATTTTTTAATCAGGTTCCAGGGGAATGGAGTTAGAAAGTTATTACAAGATTAAATTTGTCAATAAATTGAAAGGATTTGTTAGCACTTTTCCCAGAGTAAGAGGACTAATGTACTTTAGCTTATAACTATCTCTTTAAACTTTGTAAATACTTTATTTTTTCAAAGTACTTTATTGAAGTATGATTGACATACAAAAAACTGTGAATCTTTAACGTATAAAGCTTGATCAGTTTGGAGATACATGTACACCATGAAACCATAACCAACATCAAGGTCAAAGACCTACCATCACCTCTCAAAGTTTTCTCTCACACCCTTTGTTATTTTGCGTGTGTATGTTGTGTATGTATGTGAGTGTGTGGATGGCAAAAACACCTAACACAAATCTGCCCCTTAGCAAATTTTAAGTACATAAATCAGTATTGTTAGCTATAGCCACTACACTGTATAGATTTCCAGAACTTGCTTACCTTGCACACTGAAACTCCGTACACCTTTTTTTCATCATCGTCCCTTTTCCCCCTCACTCCAGCTCTTGTCAACCACCATTTCACTCACTGCTTCTATGAATTTGACAATTTTAGATTCCATACAGTAATTGTCTCTCTGAAATTGACTTATTTTACATTAGCATAATGTCCTTCAAGTCCATCCATGCTGTCGTAAATGACAGAATTTCCTTCTTTTTAAGAATGAATAGTATTTCAATGTATGTATATATCACATATTCTTTATCCATTCATCTGTTGGTGGATATTTAGTTTTTTTTCGTATTTTGACTATTGTAAATAGTGCTGTGATGAACATGAGAGTGCAGATTTCTTCAAGATCTTGATTTCATTTCCTTTAAATGAATATCCAGAAGTAGGATTGCTGGATCATACAGTAGTTTTATTTTTAATTTTTTTAGAAACATTCATACTGTTTTCCATAAAAGTTGTACCAGTATACTTTTCTATCAACAGTGCACATGCATTCTTTTTTCTCCACATCCTCACCAACACTTATCATTGTTTTTTAAAAAAAAATATTGGTCATCCTAAAAAGTGTGAAGTGATATCTCATTGTGGCTTTGATTAATAGTTTCCCCAGTAATTAGTGTTGAGTTTTTTTATTCTTTTTGTCATATGCCTTTTGGTCATTTGTATGTCTTCTCTAGAGAAATGTCTATTCAGGTGTTTTGTCCATTTTTTAATCAGGTTATTTATTTTCTTTTACTTTTAAGCTGTAGGAATTCCTTATATATTTTGGATATTAACCCTTTGTCAGATAAACAGTTTGAAAATATTTCTTTCCATTCTGTACATTGCCTCTTCATTTTATTGATTGTTTCCTTTGCTGTGCAGAAGTTTTTTAGTTTGAAACAATCTCACTTGTTTATTTTGCCTTCATTACCTGTGTTTTTTGTGTCATATGTAAAAAAAATCACTGCCAAGACCAATGTCAAGTAGCATTTACCCTGTTTTCTTTTAAGGGCTTTATGGTTTCAGGTCTCACAAAAGCTTTTCAAGGCAATAACACATTTCACTGATAAAAGTAAGTTATTTTGCTTAAACTCTTCAAAACTCAACAGTTTCCTTGGCCTTTTTAGTACCAAACCTGTAGTGTGTCTGCAACATTATGGGTAATTGTGTAATTGGGTTCAATAGATTTTAGCATATTGTCTACCAAGAATTTTATTTCTGGTACCTTTATTGCAGTGCTGAAATATGTTCAGAAATACAGAATCTTTAGTGTTCTCTGCACCAGACTGTGAAAAGTACAATATTATTTTATTAGTAATGATAGTGCCAAGCCATCAACTTGACTCTCTGCAATTGCCTTTTTACCACCAAACCCATACTGAAATAGGAGAGTTCCCTGATCCCCCTCACAGGATGTTTTACAGGGGTGTGGCTCATCTCTTCAGTGGCCACTGCTGCTCAAACCCCTTATGGGAAGGGGAGTACACAGATGGACAGGTGCAGGAGCCAAAGTGGGTGTGTGTTAGTGTGCTCTTTTAGCCTTGTTGTCCACAGATGGCTTCAGCATTAATCCAGCTCAGTGGACCCTCTGCCTTTTTGCAAGTGCAGAGAGCCAGTGTGACATCTTTCTGTATCCTGAGCTCTTGTCCAGCATTCCAGAAGAATCAGGGCACACAGAAATTTGAAGAATGAATGCGGGAGATTTTCTGTTTTACTGAGTGGTAGAGGTGGCTCTCAGCAGGATGGATGGGGAGCCAACAGTGGGGATGGAGTAGGAAGGTGACCTTTCCCTTTCTTTTTGGCCAGACAGCCAAACTCCTCTCCGACCACCCCAGCTGAACTCCTCTCAGTGTTCAAACATTCTGCCTCTTCTCTCTTTCTCTGTGGAGCCATTCTGCCATTCATTTGCTTGTCTCCTCATCTCCTCATCTGCTCATTTGATCCTGTAGCCTGGGGTTCAGGGTTTATATGGGTATAGGATAGGAGGCATGACAGGACAAAAGGCAAGTTTTTGGGCACAAAAACAGAAATGCCTGTTCCCATTTAGGGCCACGGGTCTCCAGGCCTGAAGGTGGGGCCTTTGCCAGGGAACCTGCCTCTTCAGCCCAGTATTTCTCTGTCTCCTGTACGTATCAATAATATTTGGCATCATATGGCATACTACCCTCCCCAGTGTCCTTGGTTGCATTCCTAGTTCCTGGTTATATATTTCTACATATTTGGAAAAAGGCATCTAGGTCTGTCATTGTGTAATTAGTTGTTTCAGAAAGACCACTAGCCATGGTTTTAACCAAAGACTCTGGTTTTAACCAAAGACCTTTCCAGACGTCACCAGAGTGACCCCTCCCACTTTTCTCCAGTTCACTTGTCTAAACATACCAAACCATGGTGCAAATTAAGTGTTCCACTCAGGGCCACCCATGCAGAAGGAGAACTGGAAAATTGCTGTTGCTGCTAGGTGGAATTTATTTTGCAAAGGAATATTGAACAATTTAAAGTAGTCTCTGATCATAGCTGAGTAGATGGCAACAATAGTCAATAATGTTATTCAGGGGTTAAAAGAGAAAGGAATAGAAAGGTATCTCTCCATGTCATTTACCTTAGACTAATATTGTTCACAGTATTGCAGTCCTGAAGTCATAGTATTACCCATGATTATTGCAGATACTCAAGCACAACAGAAATCCCTCATTTTGATCACATCCAGCATTGGAAAAAGCCCTGAAGCCCAGTAAATATACTCTGGTGCTAAGCTCCAACTTCTCACACTTTGGGGAAGGTTGGCAAGTATTAATGTTCTTTACTAGTTACTTATTCAGTGGATTCCATTATATATCCAGAGCTTCATCTTGTGTTTTATGTAGTGTATTCCTTGTTTCAATATAATATTATACAGGATCCTATGTCAGTAAAACAAAACACTCTGTAGGTCTTGGATAGAGAAGTTCTCACCAAAGTTCTGCAGCCAATAAATGCAAACTCATGTCCATAATGGAAATCAATTGTAATCCACATGAATCACTTCATCTTTCAAGTGGAATGGACCTGATATTATCAACCTGCCCCCCAAAAATGTATTGATTCCTTCAAAGTATAATTATAGGTCAGGAGTTCAGCATTGGTCTATGGCTGGCAGAACAGACATGCAACCATATCTACATAAATCAGCCTTGGTAAATGAAAGCTTATACTTTTGGGACTACGTTTAGCCTTTGTCCCTGACTCTATTCTTACTCATTGCATGCATTCATTATACTAGAACTAGACAGGCTGATGGCAGATGCTAGTGGATGTCAATTGACTTAGTAATTTTGTCTATTTGATTATTTAGTACCTCTTCCATAGTGAATTCTATTTAGGGAACACTAGCATAGGATTCAAAGATCCTCACATTTTATGCTCACATCTATAAGTTAATCAGCTTGTCTCTTCCTATGTTAAATATTCCATTTTTCCTAGGTTCATGGAATAAACAGCCAAGCTATTCACCATTTCCATTAGTCAGACTATATTTTTACCTTGGCCTGCTCTTTCTACACAAAGTGGGTGAAATGGTGTCTATTGGGAGGATTTTTTCCTAACTATTGATGTTCAAGACTACTTCTGATTTTAGCTTTAGTGCAGCAGCCGTCCTTTATCAGCTTGCACCCTATGATTAGCAACCCATCTATTAATCAAGCTTTACCTTTTTCCTTCTTTATTTGTTACTTATAAGGAAACCCAATGGAGACATAGGTTTGAGCTGAGGAAGAAGCTCCAGAGTGAGAGTAGTGGATGACATGGGGGCTATGTACTCATACAGTGTATTTGTATCCTCTTCTGATTGCCTCTGATCTTAAACATACCACTTCTACCATAAAACAGATTCCTGTCGGGCCAGCTCTACCTTTGACTTGTTGGCTCTGACTGAACCTGGCTTATGATGGGGCAGTCCTGATCCCATGGTCACTTCCTGTCCTTTGGTCATACTCTCTGTCTCTGTCAGGCCTGTAGCATATCAGAGATATTTTTGTACACTGTACAATTATTTGTTGCATATTTCAAAAGCTGGTCCATTAGTCAACAAGTTCAAAACTGTGATTTTCATACTAGGGTTGCCATAAACTTCACAAAGAATATTTTCTAAAAACAAAACTTACATCTCTAATGTCTGTCGAGTTATACTGATCAAATGACAGGGCTGTTAGAATCATTATCTGGATCTCAAAGCCCTTTCCTATTTTGGGTCCTACTCAAACCTGATAATCTTTTATGTCTCTTGGTAAAAGTGGTACAGTATTATTTACAAGTGTGAAATATGCTGCTGCTTGCCTATAGAACCAGAAGACTACCAGATGTGTCATTTCTTTTTTAGTGGTATGACATGTAAGATGTAATCATTTCTCCTTTACTTCAGAGAGTATGTCCCCACATCCTCTAGATACCTGGATCGCCAAAACAAACAAAAAAATCACTTGTGTGGTTAAGCCGTGAATTGAAAAAATTTACATCTCCTGTGTTCTGGAGCAAAAGTGTTTACCACATCTTACCTCCAATTTACGTGTCAATTCTTGCTTATGTACTCAGTTAAGAAGATGTCACTGTTAGTTGACTAACAGAATGACTAATGTGTTATTTTACAGATTGTCCATATCAATTCAGACTATATTATGACAGAGGGCAGGAGATATTAATCCAACTAATCTTGGATTAGTTGGATTAATATCTCCTGTTTTATCATCTGCAGTAGCTATTTTCATAGATCTTATCTTGGATTCTACCATATTGACCACACTCTGTAGCTTTTTCATAAATATAATTCCTCTGATGCTCACACTTTACCTAAAACGTGATTAATTATCTTCAACCTTTCACTATCTATTTATGATCCATTGTTTGCTCCAACAACACCATTCACTATCTTAGTTTTTATCATTAATATTTCACCTATATTTCACAAAAAAATTAAGACATTGCACCCACCCGTATGTTTCCTGCCTCAGCAATAATAATGTCCTCATCACCAGCCTGCTGGTGGCTGATCCATGTCCAAAGTCTTTACTTAATGTCTACTACCTTGGAGCACTCCTAGTACCAATGTTCTTATATTGGCTTCTCTGGGAAATAGACTCTATGAGGAGATTTTTGTGCTGGACCAACACTTGTAAGAAGGAAACATAATTGGACACAGAGAGGAGTCGAACTGAGATGCAGTAAGATGAATCACCTCAGTCAATCTGACAGGGTGCCATAGACTTAGAATGGAATTATTCCCTGAGGAATAAAGCCAGACCTTCGTACAATTGCATAGACCAATCATTAGAATGGGATTGGAAAAGAGTGACCCAGAGTAAAGTAGCTCTTCCTGACTGATGACAATTCCTGGAGATGGATTCAGCTGAGCATTGTTAGCTTCCAATACTCTCAGAAGCTGGGGATATAAGTACCTAAAAGAGGTTTGCGATGGCATACCATAACCTCCAGAAAGAATTTAAAGGACTCCATGAGAATAATAAGATGATACATCCTCACTATTTATGCCTAAATTTTACTCATCAAATAATTACATAGATTAGAGACAAAAAGAGACTGAATATCCATAGTGATGGGTCACAAGAATAGTGATCAATGAATGTTTTCTTCTGAAGGAACTAATGCTAGAACTTTGAGTAATCAGAGCAACTGTCAGACTAGAGATCTTGAAACTCTATTGTACCTTAAATGGCATTGTTATTCTTCAAAAGACTGAACTGTGCGGTTGCTGGGATGGTTTTCTGTCCCCTTATGTCTCAAAGGATCCTCATTATAAATGCACTTGTGTAAATGAGTACCCTTTCTTTGCAAACAAAGATAACAGTTTTTATAAGAGAAATAATATTTAGGAAAAAATAACAAAGCTTTGCCAGAATTATTTCAGGATGATTTATTTGCCTTGAGTTTTTCTGCTGACTTATATTGTCAATTGCTTGCAAACGTTTTTTACAATCGTGATCAAATTATGATCTATAAATGTATGATCTATAAAACTAATCTTGATCCTTGTTATGGGGTCCATTGTCTGTAATTTGATTTTCACATCAAATTAAATAACAGTTATCATTTTTAATGCATATAATTTGATGTAAGCAATAGGAAAGAGGTCAATTAAATGGGTAGCAGGGTAATAAATTGTTTTAAATTATTTAAACATGAAGCTAAAATTGATATAAGTAAATTTATGCTAGTAATAGCACAAGATTTACATTTCTCTATAAAATCTACATTTCAGCATCTTATGTACATTTATAAAATGTAATCTATTCTGGAAGACTATGTTCTTTTCATTTTTTTCCCAGATTGTTAGCATTAAAACATTTTGAAACACTAATTGGGCTTAGTTTGGTAAAAATATATATTAAAGATAATCTCTCTATGCGTATATGGATAGTATTATGCAGCATTGTATTTCATTTAATTTAAATGCTTTAAGATATTTAGTTGACACAATTCTGTAGCCCTATATTTACAACCAGGACAAAATCACTCTTTATTCAAGGATTAGTTTTTAGCAGAATGAATTGCATTTAAATGTAAAATCAGTTTTATGAGGGATGCAAAATATTTTTTGGCCTGTAGAAATTTTAAGGAGATAATAGAATGGACTGATGCAACGTTGACGAGAAGAATCCTTCAAATATTAATCAGTTAAGGACGAAACATAGGTTTATTGAAGGGCATGGTTATGCTAAAATCAGAAACAATTTAAATGTGATTAAAAATAAAAAAGAAGGTTTATGCCATCAATATTTTCAGGTGAAATAAAACAATTAACTCACTAAATTACTATAGAAAATCAGATTCTGACATTTTGTAAAAGCATTTTTTAAACAATATTATCTTTTTTGCACATACATTTTGAGGTCTGGAATTCCTATAGATGCATATTTTTTTTCAGGTTTTCTTTTTTATTACCAAAATTGATATTGTGTTGGTGCTAGAGACTGGGCATATCATATATATCAATCTGGGTTTTCTAAGGGACAAGTGATTTCTAGCTGTATGTTTACTTAGTTTAGAAACATTAGAAATGATGCCTCTTAGCAATATTTGGAGATGGCAAAGTTTAAAAAAATCAACACACTTAATATTTTACATCTTGATTAAGGATAGTTTCAACAGAATTGATATCATAAAACACCAAAAGAACTTGCTCATTTTTGCAATGATACTAGGTCACATAACTTTTAAAGAGCATATATTATATCTGTAGATGATATTTTATTATTTAATCATTTTAATGATTAAATAAGATAAAATGAATTTATATTACATGTGTGCTGTAAGAAAAGAAAGAGGGATCCTGCTGAAACTATTTAATTACTAGCTCTTACAGTCATATTTAGCATTCTTGGATTACATTTCCACTTACATAAAATTGAATGTCAGAATTATTATTTTTTCTCCTTTTTATTTTACTTTAAGTTCCAGGATACATGTGCTGAACGTGCTGGTTTGTTACACAGGCATACAACATGGTGATGTGCTGTACCTATCAACCCGTCATCTAGGTTTTAAGCCCCACATGCGTTAGGTATTTGTCCTAATGCTCTCCCTCCTCTTTCCCCCAACCCCCCAACAAGCCCCAGTGTGTGATGTTCCCCTCCCTTTGTCCATGTGTTCTCATTGTTCAACTCCTACTTATGATTGAGAACATGTGATGTTTGGTTTTTGTTCCTGTGTTAGTTTGCTGAGGATGATGGTTTCCAGCTCCATCCATGTCCCTGCAAAGGACATGAACCTGCTATTGATGAGCCTCAGACTTTTAGTTAATGGAGACTTCCTACTTTCGCACTGCCTATAACTTACTTAAGTAGTAGAAATACCTTTGGCATCATTTTTATTTATATGGTTTATTTATGCAAACAGTCAGAGCCTATCAGAGGAAAAGTAAGAACAGGACCGCACTTCTAATATTTCACCATATTGGAGTATTGTTGTTTAACATGACAGAGTAGAGAAAAGTATAACTTGAAATATCTGACATGTGTGGTCTAAGGATTGAACAAGTGAGTTATGCTGTCTTAAAATCAAAGGAATAAGTTGAAAGGAAAAACATAGTTTTTGTTTAAATCTGAACAACTGAAAACCGGCTTCATGTTCTCTTTCCTGTAGCTAGGAACTTACCAATACAATATTTTAGAATATAAAATGCACAACTTAAAAGCATTAGTATTGACCAAGACATCAAGTTATTTAAAAATATATGTCAGATATAATACACAGAAAGTGTCTGCATACACTGAATAAAAAATATTTAAAATTCATGTAAATGTATTCGCCAATGGTTCTGCTCTACCTTTGGGAATGTTTTATACTGCAGGGATATTAATGTATACTCTTCCATTTATGAGCAATAGAACTGGAGTCAACAGCTGGTGCCTCATAAGTTTAAAGGTAGTGATACAAATGGTATGGGATTTAATCACTGTTCCTGTAACTGAAGCTTTTCTCTCTATTGAGCTTGGTTGTGTTGGTAAAAAAAGATCTACTGACTGATTTTACTAGGGTTTCTGGGAAATCTTTCAGACTAATAGATAGACTTGTATTAATAGAGTTTCACTGGAAGGTTAGCATCTTGAATTGATCACAATTCCTCATTTTGTAACTTGGCACTGTAGTAAAAAATGTCTTGATGCAGTTCTGATAGCTTTCTGAGGGATACTGTTATAATATCAAGAGTTTAAGCCTCCAATTTCTTATTTATTGTAATGTGTCTTCTTTCTTAAGAAAATCAGGATATGATTTCTGAATAAATAAGGCGGATTGAACTGATGCTTTTACTTCCATATTCACCAAACCTCACTAGTGACAGAAAATGACTTTTTATAAAACATATTTTAAAAAAAAGATAACAGAAAAGACAAAAAATGTCTTGGAAAATGAAATATAATAAAAACAGGGGAGAAATTGATCTACATTTACATTGTAAATACTGTGTCCCCACCCTCTCTTTTCACTTGGTTTCTGTAAAGATCGCAGCCAGACTTATAACACCCATGTAGTAGAATATTGTATTATATCATGGATTGGAGATGAGGCTAGAATATCACCATCCAAAGGGGAAAAAACAATCTTACATGAAGTAACATAAGTGTTCCCCAATGAACAAACAATCCTAGTAAATCTCACAATTTACCCAGCAATAGGCATAGACCCTCCAATTAGCTTTTAACTGACCCTCCCATAAATAAGAACAGACAGACAAGAATCCCCACACTATTAATTAAACCACTATATCAAACTCAGAAATGAAACCAAAGGGGAAAAAAAACAACTTGGAGGAGAGAGAAGAAATGAAAAATGTATATTTCAATAATATCCTTAGAGAAGAAAAAAGCATCTAATAAGTAAGAACAGGCACCCATGGGATCAGATGGCTTGTCTTTGCATCCTCTTACCAAGCTTAGAGAAGTGTAAAACAGGATCCTTCTGGCCTAGCCTAGTTTGGGGAAGGCAATTATGAAAGATTGGGACTGCCTGCTTTCCCTTACTGGGTAGGGTCATCCACAACATCCTTTCCAGGAACACAGTATTTATTATACCTGTTTTCTCAGAATAAGTATTAATAATACCACCTCTCACCTTCAAATGTATTCCACTTGGGGAGAAAAAAACTAGAAAAATCACTTATAGGGTAATCCATCTGTTTTCAGTTTCCTGTTATCCCAGGAGTTTACGAGTGGGAAAATGACATGAGTAACACAACTGTGGTACAGGGACCTACAGCTAGAAATAGAACAGGTACCCATGGGATCAGATGCCCCCGACATCTTTATTTTTTTTCTTCTATCCTGACTTCCTCATTTGGCCAATAAATATGGCTTACTCACGGTAGAGCAAACACTAACATGAAGTTGTTGCTTTCTTCTGCCTGGTTGTTGATGGCCAATTATCTGAATCCTGTGCTACATGGGTCCCATCACCATAATTCTACCATAGGTAGTGTGCTAATTTTTGTAAACTTAGTGCTAGTGCAAATTAATATTTTATGACCACTTTTTGACCATGAGGGTGAGATAATCTGGTGGTAATTAAATGACTTCTTCAACCCTGCTGTGAGGTTACTATCATGGCTACAGGGTATGGTAAGAATGTTTCTAGAATACTGGTTCTCAATTGGTGGTGATTTTTGTCTCCACTGAAGGTACATTTGGGAATGTCAGGGGACATCTTGGTTATAATAATAGGGGCTGTTACTGGATCTGAATAGAGGCCAGGAATGCTGCTAAACATGCTATAATAGCATATCATGACAAAAAAATATGTTCTGGCCCAAAATGTCAATAGTGCAGAGATTGATAAATCCTTTTTTAGAAAATGTCTCACCTAGAAAGAAGAGAGCATTTAAAATTGTGGGAAGGAGGGTAAGCTGCATACTCTCTTGAAAGTGAGTCTTCATGGGAGAAACATCACCCAGTTTATTTTATTTGGTGCTTCTTGGTAGTCTTATCTTTCTAACTCTCCCTGTATCTGCCAACAAGCTGGATCTACCTCAGAAGACCAAATAGCTATTGCAGGTGCTATTAACAACATTGCTTTGCTTATTAGACCTGTGGTACCTCCCAATGAAGTTGACTGTCAACAATGTATCTGAGGGGCAAGGCTGAGCAAGTCATGCAGCTGGCTTTGCCAGAGATAATTGGAAGCCACTTGAAAATAACGCTGCAGGTTCAGGTGAACCTTGCATTAGCTCTCACATTGTAACTGTGAATGTCTGCCTAGCTAAAACATTGCCGTCTAGAGACAGCCCACTTCTTTTTTTTTTATTGTTTTTCTTTCTCACACGTGGCCATGACAGTTTACCTCAGAAACACATGATCTTTACCTTGGCAGTAGTATCCTTACAATCTTTTCCTTCAGCAAGATCAGTAAATAGCATCTTAGCCAGTCCCATTAGAAATTATACAGAAGTGCTGAAAGAAGAGATAGTTTGCTTAGAGGGCACCCTTTGGGATCAATGAAGAGACCAGAACGGTCAGCATTAAGTCCAAGCTGCTCTACCCCAAGGTGCCTTCCAGGAAAAGAAGTTGATTTCCTATAAACCTCCATTTCATGTCCTGGTCAGCTAAAGGACATGCAATATAGCCACCTGGTCACACCAATGCTCTGCCATGTTGAATTGCTATTTTATCCAAGCCCTGATTACACTAGGCAAGAGATCAGGTCTTTCCTAACAATTCAAGTTATAAACATCAGAGACACATGAAAATATAAGGAGAAATAAAGAGTCCAATAACATAAAAGAGCTCCAAGTACACTATGAAAGTTGAAGAGAAAGCAGTTACAAGTGGCTGAAGGTAGAGACTGAAGTAATATTAGGATCTTGGATGAAACTTTAGACTTAATGACTAGGCAAAAAGGGTTGGGAATTTCAATGGAAAGAAATTTAAGGAACAGGATTCCACATTTAGGTAAACACATGTACAAAAATTTTATATCAAGATTTACAACAGAAAATCTGTAGTAACCTCCTAAATGTGCTGAAGGACAGTGGACCCAGCATATAAACAGAACCAAAGACAAAAACCACATGGTTATCTCAATAGGTGCAGAAAAGGCCTTTGACAAAGTTCAACAGCCCTTCATTCTAAAAACTCTCAATAAATTAGGTATTCATGGGATGTATCACAAAATAATTAGAGCTATCTATGACAAACCCACAGCCAATATCATACTGAATGGGCAAAAACTGGAAGCATTCCCTTTGAAAACTGGCACAAGACAGGGATGCCCTCTCTCACCACTCCTATTCAACATAGTGTTGGAAGTTCTGGCCAGGGCAATCAGGCAGGAGAAAGAAATAAAGGGTATTCAGTTAGGAAATGAGGAAGTCAAATTGTCTCCGTTTGCAGATGACATGATTGTATATTTAGAAAACCCCATCGTCACAGCACAAAATCTCCTTAAGCTGATAAGCAACTTCAGCAAAGTCTCAGGATATAAAATCAATGTACAAAAATCACAAGCATTCTTATACACCAACAACAGACAAACAGAGAGCCAAATCATGAGTGAACTCCCATTCACAATTGCTTCAAAGAGAATAAAATATCTAGGAATCCAACTTACAAGGGATGTGAAGGAACTCTTCAAGGAGAACTACAAACCACTGCTCAATGAAATAAAAGAGGACACAAAGAAATGGGAGAACATTCCATGCTCATGGATAGGAAGAATCAATATTGTGAAAATGGCCATACTGCCCAAGGTAATTTATAGATTCAATGCCATCCCCATCAAGCTACCAATGACTTTCTTCACAGAATTGGAAAAAACTAGTTTAAAGTTCACATGGAACCAAAAAAGAGCCCACACTGCCAAGTCAATCCTAAGCCAAAAGAACAAAGCTGGAGGCATCATGCTACCTGGCTTCAAACTATACTACAAGGCGACAGTAACCAAAACAGCATGGTACTGGTACCAAAACAGAGATATAGATCAATGGAAAAGAACAGAGCCCTCAGAAATAATGCCACACATCTACAACCATCTGATCTTTGACAAACCTGACAAAAACAAGAAACGGAGAAAAGATTCCCTATTTAATAAATGTTGCTGGGAAAACTGGCTAGCCATATGTAGAAAGCTGAAACTGGATCCCTTCCTTACACCTTATACAAAAATTAATTCAAGATGGATTAAAGACTTACATGTTAGACCTAAAACCATAAAAACTCTAGAAGAAAACCTAGGCAATACCATTCAGGACATAGGCATGGGCAAGGACTTCATATCTAAAACACCAAAAGCAATGGCAACAAAAGCCAAAATTGACAAATAGGATCTAATTAAACTAAAGAGCTTCTGCACAGCAAAAGAAACTACCATCAGAGTGAACAGGCAACCTACAGAAAGGGAGAAAATTTTTGCAATCTACTCATCTGACAAAGGGCTAATATCCAGAATCTACAAGGAACTTAAACAAATTCACAAGAAAAAAACAAACAACCCCATCAAAAAGTGGGCAAAGGATATGAACAGATACTTCTCAAAAGAAGACATTTATGCAGCTAACAGACACATGAAAAAATGCTCATCATCACTGGTCATCAGAGAAATGCAAATCAAAACCACAATGAGATACCATCTCACACCAGTTAGAATGGCAATCATTAAAAAGTCAGGAAACAACAGGTGCTGGAGAGGATGTGGAGAAATAGGAACACTTTTACACTGTTGGTGGGAATGTTAACTAGTTCAACCATTGTGGAAGACAGTGTGGCGATTCCTCAAGGATCTAGAACTAGAAATACCATTTGACCCAGCCATCCCGTTACTGGGTATATACCCAAAGGATTATAAATCATGCTGCTATAAAGACACATGCGCACATATGTTTACTGTGGCACTATTCACAATAGCAAAGACTTGGAACCAAGCCAAATGTCCATCAATGATAGATTGGATTAAGGAAATGTGGCACATATACACCATGGAATACTATGCAGCCATAAAAAATGATGAGTTCATGTCCTTTGTAGGGACATGGCTAAAGCTGGAAACCATCATCCTCAGCAAACTACTGCAATGACAAAAAACCAGACACCACATGTTCTCACTCATAGGTGGGAATTGAACAATGAGAACACATGGACACAGGAAGGGGAACATCACACACTGGGGCCTGTCATGGGTTGGGGGGAGGGGGGAGGGATGGCCTTAGGAGATATACCTAATGTAAATGACGAGTTAATGGGTGCAACACATCAACATGGCACATGTATACATATGTAACAAACCTGCATGTTGTGCACATGAACCCTAGAACTTAAAGTATAATAATAAAAAAAAAGAAACATTACTGTCAGAATTAACACACAATGTAGTGAGTCCATATCATATGCCAGCACAGTACTTAACACTTCACAGTAGGAGCTCTCTTAATAAGTAAAATAAGGACATATATGCATTTGTGCATGCAGATAAAAATCAATTTAAACAAACTACAATTTTTAAAAAAACCCTACATCATAAAAATTGTATTTAAAATTAAATCACTTATTCACCACTTTTTGGATATATTACTAAAATATTTCATTCAATGTGGGTCTGCTAGTTAGATTTTTCCCTTGTTTTTTCTTCAGGTCAATCATATCCATATCCTTGATGGCCATTTTTAATCTCTATAAAATGATTAAGAATGCAAAGTCATTTGGGAATTACTATGAGAAAAGACTCCTTCAAGTTTGTATACATATTCTCAATGTTTTATAATTGTCTATTTTATTTAATTCAATAGATAATCTTTATTTGGAAATTACCTTTATTAAATCTTTCCACAGAATTCACAGAAACATTTATCTGATTTTTTTATAATACAGATGTCATTGATTTGTACTGTTGTGCTAGATTTATTATGTTGATATCCCAGTTTCCACCAATCCCTACATTCCTGCCTTACATAACGTAATCCTGTAGAGGCTTCCTACTCTGAGTCTGGATTCAACCGTATAATTTCCTTTGTTATATGAATTGTAAGCAGTTGTGACACGCAAAACTAAAAAATAAAAATTGAAGAGTTTCCAAAATTTGCCTACACTACGATACCTCTGCCATGGCTATGGAAACATGCCCAGGTTAGCCTGCTAGGAAATGGAAGACACACGGACGCATTGTCTCTGTAGTACATGTCAAGGTCTTTCGAAATAATCTGATAAACATCTGACCTCTACATATGTGACGTAAGCCAACAGTCTTTACAGAACTGCCTGGCCAAACAACAGCGGATTACAGAAACATGAATGAGCTCAGCCAGATTTAGCCAAGAGCAGCCCAATTCAGCAGAACCCTAGTGAACCATGAACTGAATAAACCTTGATTGTTAAATGCCACGAGGTTGCCCAAGATGGTTTTCACCCATCATTAACGTGGCCCTATATACTTGATGAAGAGATTAGTGCCAAAAGTAAATGCCAATTAAAACAACCAAATAAAATCTTAAAAAATGGCATAAGCATTGTGCCTTAGTGGAACCCAAAAGCAAGAAAAAATGGTGAAGTAGAAGGAAAAAATGTGAGAAAATTATTCGAAGAGACTATAAAATGGCTAATCACATTCTGTGGTGGCTAAATGTTTGTGAAAGCTCTAACATCTGTTAAAGAAACAATTGCACCTGAAAAGATGCGCCCCAAAACAACTTGATTTTATTCTGATAGTCTTACCAGCAATAGAGAAGAGAGCACAGACCAAGTAGCCAGAGAGTTGCTAAGAGTTGGGGTGGGGGATAGTGAGCCACCTGTGTTTGCTAACCGTCTTTACCAAAAGAAGTACTCTTTCTTCTATCTTCAAGACAGCAGGTAGTTCTACAACAGGGAGAGAGGAAACCACTGACACTAGGTTTCTACTCTTCCACAAAAACTGGGATACATGGGATCTATTTTCCTTAATGATTAAATTTCAAAGGATGGCTACTAGATCACTGAGAAAGACATTCTTGGATTGTCAAACTGGCAAGAAGCTTTAAAACAGATTTATATATCAAAGGAACACAGAAATAATTTTCAATTCTAAACTTGCTAAAATAAATATTCTAAGGTAAAGGAGACCAGGGGCCAAGAGTCAGGAAGATACCTGTCTAAAATTTAGTCAAGTTGAGTGGAACATTATGGTTTTCTAGTCACCTGTAGTAACTTCAAAAATAAAAAAGTACATAGTAAACTTCAGTACCTAAGTAAACAGTTTTCCAAGCAGAATAATATATAGGTTTGCTTTCACTAAATCTCTATAAGTTTGTAAAAGAATGATACAGTCTAAAAAAAAACATGGCCAGTTTACAAGCAGAAATTACAGGGAAAATAGAGATTCAAGGATTTACTAGAATGAGAATTAAAACTGTTTCTCCAATCTAGCCTTTCACAATAACAAAATATATCAAACTAAGGCATAGCCTCAGGTTAACAATAGAACCAAAGGTTTGGATGTGATACTTTTTGTTAAGACCTTTGAAAGAATTACCATGGTGCCATGTAGGACAGTTCAGTTGTACAAAATAGGCTTTAGAAATATTAAGCGTTTGCTAGAGTTTGAGGGGGTGATTTTTGCATTTATGGTCATTAGAGATATTGGCCTCAAGTTTTATTTTATTTTTGTTGTGTCTCTGCCATGTTTTGGTATCAGAACGATACAAAAATCTAAAACTATAAAAAACTTAGAAGAAAACCTAAGAAATGCCATAGGCCCTGGCAAAGACTTAATGCTGAAGACTTCAAAAGAAATTGCAACAAAAATTAACAAATGAGACCTGATTAAATTATAGAGCTTCTACAGAGCAAAGTAAACTATAAACAGAGTAAACAGAACCTACAGAATGGGAGAAAATTTTGCAAACTATGCATCTGACAAAGGTCTAAAATCCAGAATCTCTAAGGAACTTAAACAAATTAAGCAAAAACCAAACAATCCCATTAAAAATGGGATAGGAACAGACATTTCTTAAAAGACATACATGTGGCCAAGAAACATACGAAAAACCACTCAACATCACTAGTCATTAGAGAAATGCAAATCAAAATCATTATAAGATACCATCCGACACCAGTCAGAATGGCTTTAAAAAGTAAAAAAATAACAGATGCTGGTAAGGTTGCAGAGAAAGGGGAATGCTTACACACTCCTAGTGGAAATGTAAATTAGTTCAGCTACTGTGGAACTACTGTTCAGCTATAGTTCAGAGGTATCTCAAAGAACTTAAAACAGAAATACTATTTAACCCAGCCATCCTATTACTGGATATATACCCAAAGGAATATAAATTGATTTGTTCTACCATAAAGACACATGCATGCATGTTAATCACAGCACTATTCAAAATAGCAAAGAAAGCCGGGCATGGTGGCTCATGCCTGTAATCCCAGCACTTTGGGAGGCCGAAGTAGGCGGATGACCTGAGGTTGGGAGTTCATGACCAGCCTGACCAACATGGTGAAACCCTGTCTCTACTAAAAATACAAAATTAGCCAGGCGTGGTGACACAAGCCTGTAATCCCAGCTACTCGGGAGGCTGAGGCAGGAGAATCGCTCTAACCCAGGAGGTGGAGGTTGCAGTGAGCCAAGATCGCACCATTGCACTCCAGCCTGGGTAACAAAAGCAAAACTCTGTCTCAAAAAAAAAAAAAAAACAAAAAGCAAAGAAATGAAATCATCCTAGATCCCCATCAATGGCAGATTGAATAAAAATAAAATTGGGCACATATTTACCATGAAATACTATGCGGCCATAAAAAAGTTTGAGATCACATCCTTTTACAGGAATATGAATGGTGCTGGAGGCCATTATCCTAAGCTAATTAATGCAGGAAGAGAAAACCAAATAGTACATATTCTCACATAAGTGGAAGCTAAACATTGAGTACACATGAACACAAAGAAGGGAACAATAGACACTGGGGCCCACTTGAGGGTGGAGAATGTGAGGAGGGTGATAGAAAGACTGCCTATCAGGTACTATACTCATTACCGAGTCATGAAATAATCTCTACACCAAACCTCAGGACACGCAGCTTTCCCATGTAACAAATCTGCACACGTACCCCCTGAAACTGAAATAAAAGTTGGAAAAAAAGAAATATTAAGGGTGTTTTCTACAGTATATTACCATGTGAAAATTGGTAGTGATTTAATCTAGAGAAAGAGTCTTGGAAATAACTCTTGTGTTAACTTTTGTCACATTGAATAGAACCTGAGAACATTTTTTAATAGTCAAGAATTTTTGAGACCTTGATGGAGAAGCACCATGAGCCTATGTTAAGAGACTAAGATTGGTTAAGATTTATAAAAGCCTCTCATCGTTTTATGGAAAGAAAGTAGATTGAGAAAGTTAAGCAAAAGGCATATTTTCTAATACTTTCTTTAGAAATAAACAAAAAGGATGATGTTGCAAAGAAACTTCCTTCCAACAAACAGATTCAAGAGCGCTGTGGAACAATGTACTGGCGAATGGAGAAGAACCAGGGCTTAAACAACATTTCCCATCCCAGGATGAGAGGAACATGGTAACATTTACCCCACAAGACATTAGGGCTAAAGACTACTAAATGTTTTCAATTCATTCCACTTTTGCATGATAATTTGTTCTGTATTTATACTATTCCTATTTCATAATTGGCTATTTAGTTCATAACTCTCTATATTGGGGTGTCACATCCAGATCTGATATAGTTCCTATGATTCTGTACTCTGAGCTTGATTCTATGTTGGATGAGACTTTGAGTATCCTGAGTTAGGATGTGCATACTTTGAATGCAGGAAAATAACTGCTATTAGACCGTAAACCACAGTAGTTTGTAAAAGTAGCCCCAGTTCTTCACTTATACCTGTATCCATTCCTTTTGTTATAAAAACTGTTATTGCTCCCTTATTCTAATTTCTTGGTGGGTTATATAATTTTCTTGGGTCAGTGTGATGTCAGCAGATACGATGCAAACAGAGACTTGAAGAAGCACTTGCATACTCTTGTTTTCATGTGCAACTTGGCCATAACCATGCCCAAGGTAGCCAGGAGGAAGATGAAAGATAGACATGAGGCAGGGCAATATTGCCCAAATTATGCCATCTGTGACTTTTCTAGACCAGCTGGCAGTCAGCCAACTGCTGACTTGAGGACAGCTGTAAGCCGACTGTTAATTGACTGCAAATGCTTGACTGAGCCAGAAAGACAAACGAAGCTCACAGTTAAACCCCACATATACATGAATCTAATAAGAATTGATTATTTTATATCACTAATGTTTTAAGTTGCTCGTTATGCAACATTATCATGGCAATCGATAACAGGTATAATTATATTCACTCAAGTGTTGTAACTACAATCACAAATACAGTAAGTGTAAACAGGTTTTAGAATAGATGAAATTGACTTATGATAGCAGAATTGAGAGCATTTACTAGAGATTAGCCTATGAATGGACTGATCATGAGTAAGTAGAATATTGGTTCTATTGTGTAATCTCTTCACTGAAGTAGAAATTGGTTATTGTAGGTTCTACCATAGTTTTACCATTTAAAGCTGTAAAGTGTTTATTGAATAAAGGAATGATTTTCATTTTATACAGATAGAGCTGAGGCTTTGAGAGGATAAGTAGTAGAGTTGATGGCAAATCACCATTAGTGAGAAGAACCAGAACCCAAAACCATGTATAACTCCACAGTCTATTTTTTAAAATAACTATATTATGTTAGTTTTCTATTTGATATATTTATTTTCCTCAAATTATCCACTAATGTTATTTGGTTCAGGACCTTTTGAGAAGGAGGAAAACACATTTTAACTTATCACTGTGAAAACAAAAGAAAATCTCAGGATCCCAATTTACTATGCCAAAAGCAAAAACTTAGGCTGAAAGCTGAGTCATGCAAGAAATTGGCTTTTCTTTCTTCCTAAGCAGATAGCTACAGATAAAAGGCCAGATATATCTGTCTGCAGGTAGCTACTCTATGTTCACTTTCCCTTATGTCAAGTGTCAATTTACTGAATGCGAGACAAACACATAATTGACTTCCTGTGTCTGCTCCTTTTCTCTTGCAACAACACATGGACTCAGTATGGGACCATACCATTCCTCTTTCCCTTCCAGCCTGCTTTTCCCCTTTAAATATTGAGGTCCTCAAAATCATCTTCGAAAAAAGTCAGGGACCAGATTGTTCCTATGGTTTTTGTGCTCCTTTATTTTTTTCCAGGCATGTCCTTAACTTTTTCAAAATAAACTTCTAAATTGATTGAAACCCGTCTCAGACACATTTTGGTTTACACTTAAAAATGACACATACTAAAGATTTGGCCTATTAGAAAACAAATTTCTCACTTACTTGATATTCTTCATCCAGAGTCACCTCAGATCATCTAGATACTGTGGTTCCGGATCCTATGTTGGAGTTATTATTCAACAGAAAATTGAGGTAAAAGAAAAGAAAATGGCAAAAAAGGGAAGAAGTGGAATTGGAGAGTCAGGAATGGCAATCAAAGTTAGAAACAAAAACTGCATGAAAACTATGTTAATATCTCACAATTAACAGGTAATTGGGCTCAGGATTACGATTTCTCAAGCAATGCCCTGATTTTACTACTTACCATCAAGTTATACACAAATGCAACGCACAAACACACACTCACAGATATCCACCAAAGTATATAACCCTTATTTAGTAGGAAAATAACAAGTTCTCTATTTATCTTATGCTATTGAACACAGAATTACAATTAAACAAAATATGTTTAGGAAAATTATCTTCCACTATACTAATACACTTGAAAGCATTTTCATTTACAACCAAAATGTCGGTGGCTGTTACATAAAATTGTACCACAGTATTAAATTTTCATAGCCTTTTTCATGTCACTAGAAAAGATGCTTGGCAAAATGCTTCTTTGCTTTTATGAGTTTCATGCTGAACTTTGACAGGTAACAAAAGAAATTGAATGTAAAGCAATGTGTGGGTTGTTAGGCATTTGTAAAACACCCAAATTATTTTTGTTCTATTTAAATTCCCACAGCCTTATAAATAATTATACCAAATCTTTAGCTTGCCTTCTTTTGCAACCTACAATGTTAATTCATTATCACTTAGAAAATACATTAGTAGTATCAATTTAAATATGAATTTAAATATGACATCAACATTTATCCACATATTTGTCACAAATTTCTATTTGATTCATGTAGGCAAGTGACTACCTAATATGAATTTGATGGGATATTTCAGAAAATATTGTTGAATAAACCCATTTTTTTGAGTACAGGTAGATGGACAGAGAGATAAATGCATACATGAAATATACTTTTTACCACTACAATTTCTGTAAGAAATCACAATTTTCATATAGTCTCCATATTTAAAAAAGAAATGTAATCTTTTATGATGCATAAAACAGAGCAGTTAATCTGTTGTATATATGGCTTTGGTATTATTTCAATATTGGCAAATTAGTAAGACTTCTCTAAATAATATGTCTCTTTCTTGTTTTAATGACTAATAGTTTGGGCACTATTCAGCTGAACTGCACTTATTTTCAGAATTACAGTGTCAATCTCTTCAGATTCTTTAGAGCTACTTTAAAATACAGTTACACAAGTAATAATTTTTTGCTCTCTTTAAGTTTTTTAGTGACAAGATTGATATGTTCTGAACTGTGTCCCTAATAAAGGGAAAGATGCTAAAAGAAGTTGGAGAGAAATACCAGAGTTGCCTTGTTCACTTATATGAAGTTACTGCCCAGACTATTATGGAAAAATATTAATTGGGCAGAACCCTTTACTCACATTAGAAGAAATACCTGCAAAACATATAGTTTCTATGTATAAAAATTAATATTCAGCAAAAATATTAAATTAGAGCCAAAGGCAAATTGGTTGGATGTCAGTATGTTTGCGTCATTTAAATGTTTATAAATAGCAGAAAATCACAAAAATCTTTTAAGAAAATAACAGCATATGATGAAATAACAATGTGGTCTTGAATTGTATTTTTATAAAAAAGACGAAAAATTTATGAAACTATAACTGAAACTACTGCATCTCAAGAAAACATTCTACTGTTACTCAGGTTAGTAATGCTCCTTTCTGTTAAGTAATAACTTTATTACTCTTGCAAATGGAAATACATCTCCAATATTAAGTACCTCACAATTGTTTACTTATATCTACTTAAAGTTAATGGTTTTGCATCAATGTACAAATCTATGCTAAAATACAGTTATAATATTGATTATAATTATTTAATATGACTTTGTCCTTAGAAATATGGTGAAAATATTTTTATATTTAGGTTAACACTGGCTGCATTTCCTCCTAGTCTTATGGCAAAATCTTCATGCATTTATTGTAAGGCTATGACATCAGCTAAAATGTACCATTTGAAGACTTCATTATTTTCTCGATGAATTAAATAAATTTTGGCATAGTACTAATTAAATTCTAGTCACTAGGCTTGCTTATATGTCTTTTGAAATGTATAAATTATGCCCTCAAGAAGCCAATAAATAAATAAATAAAACCACTGAGGGGAAATGATTACATATAATGATACATCCATATAGTGCTTAAGTGTAGGAAGAAATAGATTTGGGAAATTGAAAATACGACAAAACTCAAGACACTTGGGATGGACAGGGAGGGTCACATAACAAAAAGTAGAAAAGGAAACAGACATACCATGTACATATTTAGTATCAGAAAGTCTATTTTACCTACTTCAATATATAGTTTGCTGTTCTCTTGAATGATGGTAACAAGTAGAAATTTCCTCTTCTCAATGGTTTCCAAGTAGTTAATAAAGAAGTTGTAATCATGCCATATATTAATATATATAGTATACATAATATTACATATATAATATACATACACATTTTGTATATGTATACATTGTATATACATATAATCCATAATAAATATATCATATATAATTATATATACACATATTTATTATATATTATATGTGTATACAATATTATGTATTATTTGTAATATGTAATATAAATGTAATATGTAATATAATATAATATAATATGTAATATAAATATAAATATACATATTATGTAATATTATGTATTATTTGAATAATACATATTGTATACAATATTGTATATGTATATATTATTTACATATATTATATACATATATACATATGTATATATAATTATATATACATATATATATAATTATATATACATATGTATATATGTATATATTATATGTGTACATACATATGTATATATTATATGTGTACACATATTTATTATATATGTGTATAATTATATATGTGTATTATATGTATATTTATTATATATTTATGTGTGTATATAATACATTACATATTTTATTTACAATATGTAGATTTCAGAACATTTTATCTCAGTGTGAGAGACAATAGTATAATGTGTTGCCATATGTCATATTAACTTACAGTGCACACTTGCCCAGTAGGCTACACAAATGATAGTATAAACATTTTAAAAATGAAACAAATTCATTACCGAGAGACCAACCTACTTTAAATTCATACAGTGTAAGGGTCCGGGTTCTAATTGATATTTTAGTGCTTTACCAATTATTTTCAGATGTACAGAAACTTTTTGAAATCTTATACATTTTCCAATTTAAAATAGTTTATTTTTCCATCATTATTATGAAGTTTGTGCATATATGGAAAGATCAACAGTTCTGGATTGTATGTTTACAGATGCTTCAATTGTTGAACTACTTTGGAAATATTTAGGAAGTCTCTTTAATTTATTTAAGAATGTTGTGTTCTCATATGACAAATTAAGGCTAATTTATATAATATTAAGAATTTTTACTTTAAGTTAATCAATTCATATAATCTAATTTTTTCATATCAACCAGCTTATTATAAAAAATATTAATAAACAGCCAAATCAAGGCATACATAGGGCAAAGTCTAGAAAGGTACTGATCACAGGAGTTTCTGTCCCAGTGGAGCTGGGGTGCATCACCCTCCCTGCATGCAACTGATTCTCATCTGAAAGCCTGCAAATGTTCAGTTATCTGCAAGCTCTGATGGGAGCAGGCCCTTCACTCTACTGTGTTTTTGTTGGACCAACGAATTTTGGAAGGTGACTACTCTTGGTGATGATTTTGGTAAACATTAAAAAGAGAGCATTATAATTTAAGAAGACTCATGCAGCTTAAAAAAAATTCTAATGTAAAATTCATATTATTGATAGGGGACCAGGTACAGAGAAATAGACTTACGGGCACATTATTTTCCACTTATTACAGAAAATCTTGGTGCCTCTATCTTTGGATCACGTGGGTGGTAAAACATATCTGAAAACAGTAGCCTCTGAGAAGAAACAGAGGGATAGAATACAATCCAGTTTGACAAATAATGTTTAATGGAATCAAAACTGATTCAATGTTAAAATTGCTACTATTTTAAAAAATCATCCTAGATAATAAAATTATTTTATTTATTTTTGCTTTAAATAAAAACTGGTCAATTTACTGGTATTCAACAGTTTTAGAAAATAAAATAAATGACTTTGATATCGGAAAAATTTCAAATCTTATTTTTTAATTTTTATATCGTGTCTTATCTTGTTAGTAGTTTCATGGAAAAGAATGAAGCAATGTTCATTCAAATCATTCTGTTTCCATAATAATAAGCTCTGATGAGATATTTTATTGTATATTTTGTACAATATTTTATTGTATATATCAGTATAATTCAGGTGTGTTCCCCACTCCCATGTGTCAAAGAAAGGTCCTTATGCCTGAAGGAAAAATCTCTGTTATCAATGTGGAATAGCTTGTTATATCAGTTCTCATGATCATAGGACACAAAACTGACATATTTTAACTTTTTTTTCTCTGATCACTTCTCTGAAGTTGTCCTGGCTCCCTTTGTATATTTTAATCAATGTTAATACTAATTTATTTATTTTAATTCTAAATCTATGCTGCTGGTATCATTATATATATCCCATTGTACTGAAATTATTAGCATAAGTTCCTCACTTAGAACTTGTTTAGAATTTAATTACACTAGTAATTTTCAGTATATTTATTTAGCTTGTCAAGTATTCCAAAATATAACCTAGAAGGTGATATGTTACATACCTGATATATGAATGAAGCATTTTGAATCTAGCTCAAACTATATGTAATTTTTCTTTTAAAATAGCGATGTTTGTGAAATTAAAAAAAAAAATCTTGGTATTCCAAACTCACTATGTCAGGGGGAAAATTTAGCTTGGGAACTAAGTCACACAAAAAACTACCTTCCTTTTGCTCCCAAGCAGATATCTGTAATCTTACATGCTTAGTTTATCTTATGCAAAATGTAGATTTACTGAGTATAAGACAAGTGTATTATTGACTTTTTCCTTTACTCCCTTCCTTTTCACATGTAAAATGTAGACTGACTGAGCACTAATCAAAGTCTCATAATAATATAATCACGTAACTCATTGCCTACCCTCTCTCCTTTATTTTTTCATTTTCCCTTACTGCTTGCTTTTAACCTTTCATTGAAGTTTCCACAACCATCTTTGGAAAGAGCAGAGGTCAGAGATCCTACTCTGATTTGTGTTTATTTTTCCTGGGTGCATCTTCAACTTTGGCAAAATAAACCTCCAATCAATTGCAATCTGCCTCGGTTACTTTTTGGTTTACATGTTTCATAGGCCTTTATTTTTCCAATGAGGTGAAATTTAGTTTATTATATACAGTAAGGATAAGGCCTAGCAGTTATGTAACTAATTATTTTGCATACCTACTTTGCCATATTTGTACAATCATTTCCTCTAATCTATGGTTTTGTTTTCTGTGGTCACAGTTACCTGCAGTCAACCATGCTCTAAAAATATTAAATGGAATATTCCAGAAATAAATTTATACAGAAGTTCAGAAACAATTCCCATATTTTTAAAGTGTGCACCACGCTGAGTAGCATGATGGCAGTTCCCATCATTCCACTTTGTTCCGCTGCAAATGTGAATCATTTCTTGCTCCAGCATACCCACACTGTAAATGCTACTCACCTGTTAGTCACTTAGTAGCTACCTTGGTTTTCAGATTGACTGTAGTTGTATCAGTGCTGTATTCAAGTAACTCTTATTCTACTTAATAATTGTCCCAAAGCACAAGAGTAGTGATGCTGGCATACTGTTATAACTGTTCTATTTTATTATTGTTGTTGCTAATATCTTACTGTGACTAATGCATAAATTAAACTATCATAGGTATATATATACAGAAAACAACATTGTATATACAGGCATTGGTACTCTCCATGGTTTCAGGGATGCACAGATAAGACCCACCTCCACAGATAAGGTGGGTCTACTGTAATTTAATTTGAACTGGTTTAGACTTTTCTTTTCATTTTTTTATATTTCATTCTAAAATGAAAACAATGATAGTAGCAGTCTCATTCACTATACTGAGTCGATTATGTATATGTTACATATATTTCAATCATTTTTCTCACTTCCACCTTGTTCTTCTAAGTGAGTTTTCCAACATCTCTCTTCTCTTTATGCCCTTATGCCTGCTAATTATAAAAAACAACCTGTGTATCTTTGGGATACTGTAGTGGAATGAATAAAACAAGTTTATTTTAAACAGGCTATGATTAACAATAATATCTGATGATTTGAGCTAATACAACAAAAACACAGGTAAGAAAATTGAGAAAATATGTATATAAATTAAATACTACATCATTGTTCTATCATAAATATGATCTTATAAGTATTTCTATACCAAATTTCCAAAATTAGAAAATAAAATGTCAGTAATTTTAATGACATTTAGAAAAAAAATTACCCATTAACTCTACAAGAAAAAATAAAGTAGAGCAGAGAGAAGGGAAAACAAAATTATAGAAAATACAGGGAAATACTCAGAAAATAAAGAATATTTTTGTCAAGTTTTTGTATCTGCTTAAGAAAATAAACTGTTTTTCCACCAGATTATTTTAATAGGGGTGAGATGGAGTAGATTAGCAATAGATACAATAATAAACAGCATGCCATTTGTAGCAAGCTCATGTCATGAGAATGACCGTGAGGATATATGACTTGTTTCCTTAAGATATACTCAAATTATCTTTCCCAATCCCTTTAGTTGTAGCCAGCAAAAGACAATAGAATAAAAATCATATAGCAGAAATATTATTAAATAGCAGATGTATTAGTCTTCTCTCATGCTGCTAATAAAGACATACCTGAGACTGGGTAATTTATAAAGAAGAGAGGTTTAATTGACTCACATGGCTGGGGAGGCCTCACAATCATGGCAGAAGGCAAAAGAGGAGCAAAATCATGTCTGGAATAAGATTTAATGTTTGGTAGAACAATAGGGTGACTATAATTAACTATTTCATATTTCAAATTAGTTAGAAGGTTTAACACCCCAAAGATATGGTAAATGTTGGTAGTGATGTATACCCCATTTACAAGATTTGATAATTAAATATTGTATACTGTATCAAAATCTCACATGCACTTCATAAATATGCATAACTATTATGTATCCATAAAAATTAAAAACAACTTTAAAAATTGTTTTTAAAAATTAATCTTAATTAAATATTTAAAAATCCCTTCATTTTTGCATTTGCCTTTTCCATATAACATAACATAATCACAGGGTTGATATTCTATCAACTATGTTCTTCTATTTCTTAGAAGGGGAGAAGATTGCACACAGACATAAATAACAGAAGGCAGGGATCATGGGGCCTTCTTTAGGGTATGTCCACCAGACCAGCTCTGTGCCAAGCACCATGCTATCCTAGGATTAAAAATATATGAGTAAGATAATAAACATTTTTTCAAGTCTAACTTCTAGTTGGAGACATAGGCAAGCACATTTAAAGGTTAATAAAAATTTTACTGGTACCAATGATAGAAGGCATATGGATAGAAGGGTTCTATTCTAGCTGGATCATCAGGCAAGGGAACGTCTGTGCTGAATCTTGAAGTCTTGCTCATAAATAGGTAGGCAAGTTTTCTAGAACCAAGGAGTGAATGAAAAATGATTGAGATATGTGAATTGACATGTCCTTGTGTGTTAGGAGAATGCGAAACCATTTAATAATTTTTTTAACTTGTGTAGTGACTATCCTTGCATCTGTAAAATATTAGCACAGTGCACAAATCAGAGTGTGTAGGGGGTTTCCGTGTGTGTGTGTGTGTTGCGTGTTGTAAATGTGGTGCCCAGATCTCCACTTTAAGACTGAAATACTCCTTCCTCAGGCTGCCAGAATTTTTGCTTTCTGATGACTCATAGCTGAGTCACTCTGGAAATTCCATTTAGCCAAAGAGAGCAACCTTTCCCAAGGTTATGCCTCATTAGATGTGGCTGCAGCTCACATCTAATGACTGGATGACATGGCTACAAAGGCCCTTGCTTTAGTTCAACATATATCATCTGAATGGTTAAATGTGATAGAGTACCCTAAAAGACGGCTACAATTCCTTTCATGCTCTCTTACAATGTGGCTTCGTTTACCTCATCACTAACAGGTACCTTCTATTTTGCATCACATTGAATATGGGATGACCCGCGACAGGTTTTGACTAAAAATGTGGCAGAAATGATGTCCAGGCATTTCCAGAGATCAGACCTCAAGAGGCCTTGCAACTTATACCATCACTTCTGGTATTGCACTTAGTAAAATTATACTTATTTTACTCAAGACTCTGGTCTAGAAGTCTCTGTTCCAGAAGGGAAGTCATTATATCAGGGCATAGTAAGTTTCACATTAAACTGTAGGTTATGACAAACACCTGATCACTTTGTATTCCTTGTGCCAAGAGATCAGGAAGAACATTACAAGGAAGTAAAGCTGTTAATACCTACTGGGAACAGGGAAGTATACAATTGGCACTCAGATGATCCAGTGTAGTATCTCTTGGCACAGCCCTGAATACTTTTGAAGGTGAAGAAAAAGAGCATGAAGATCAGGGGTGTAGACTTCTTAGGGGTGGTGGAGTAAGCTACTATATGAGTAGATGCACTAATGGAAGGTGAGGGGAATCTAGAATGGGAACTATAGGAGGAAGATGTTGAATCTCATTTGCAGCTGCTGAAACTTTACTTCGCTCCACTGACTTTGATTGGCAAGTTTTTCTAAGATAAAATAAATCAGTACTTGGGAGGCTAAGGTAGGAGATCACTTGATCACAGGAGGTCAAAACTACAATGAGTGGTGATTGTGTCACTGCACTCCAGCCTGGCAACAGAGAGACACCCTGTCAAAAAAAAAAGAAGAAGAAGAAGAAGAAGAAGGAAAGAAAGAAAAGAAAAAAACAGAATTCTAGTGAAACTACTCCCAGTTTGCATAAATGTATTATATTAAGCAAGTCGATCAAAGATGTACAAAGCTTGGACTAAAGTGGATGCTGTGCTGTGTCACTCAGATCCTCTTTCAGTACTGAGGCCTTAATTCCCATGAGAGCTGAAAGTGGTAGCTGCTCCTCACTTGTGGTATACGGAACCTCAAAAATTTCCCAAAGGAAGCCAGCTATTTGCTCAAAGTCATCTCAATCAACCCCTCCTATGATAGTCAACATTCAAGTACTCATCAACAAGGGAGCCCAAAGCCCAGACCCCCTTGCCTCAATCTGGAGCATCTCTGAAGGCCATCCAGGTTTAGAATTTCTCTGAGTTCTGTCAAGATCGCTGCTGAAAATACACCACATTAGTTCAACTCCTCCCTCTACTCAATCCTGATTCTGTCACTCCTTTATAGACTTGTAGTTCTGAAATCCATCCCCAGTAAACCTCCACATGCCAGTATCTGTTTCAGAATCTGTTTCTGGGCAACTCAATTTACAAAAGAGTGTTTAAGTGTTGAGAGTCAAGAAAATATAGCTTTGTCTATGTAATCAGACCAGTGCCTGGAGAGTTTTAACATCATAGTTTTGAAGTTAGGATTTGAACAATGAGGGCCTCCTTCTTTGCTTGGGAGTAGTAATAATATAATCTGAAGTTCAGGGCTGTGAAGAAGTGGACTAGCATATTACTATTCCCCTTGTGGGTGAAGCTACATCTCTCATGCTTTATTTTCTCTGACTAAACGTTTTCTTTCAGTACCCTTGTTCAGTACATCTGGGTAAATGTGACTGTTATAAAGTCCCTTTAATTGTTGAAATGGGATAAGTCACCTTCTTACTGCCACTAATGTAGAGATTCACTGTCAAGGGGTTATTTTCGCACCAAGGTCGTTGGCTAGAGAACATGTTTCATAATTACTCTTGGCACAGGGTGAGTGATGTAGGTAATGGACGCATAAGGAAGCCCCAGAAAAAGTGCACTCAAGGGATGATGGACTCCAAAGTGTAGCAATGGACAATCCTGAGCATTTTGCTGATTAAGCAGATCACACACTACAATCAAGACAAAATATATGTAAGCATATAGGTGCTCTGTACAAAATGTCAAGAGAAATGACTGTCCTGTTTCTGATAAATACGATATACTAAAATAAAAATTAGACTACATTCATGCACTCATTTAAAATGTACTGTAGAAATAATAGGAAATGGACAACAACTAAAAAGTCACATAAATACCTGAAGAAAATTCTAAGATAAATTGCTGGGCAGGAAGAAAATCTACTCTAAATGGCAGAATATGAATTTCACATTACCTCCTTTAAAAAATATTACTCTCGGTAGTCGTCATTTTTTGAATGACTTAGCTGAAATGGTAACTTCTTATTGGCAGCATGGTACAGTCAGTGATTCTGTAATTGACAGGTACTGTGTGACATATGAAAAAAGTGAAGTGCATTTGAAAGTTTGGTAGTGACCTTAGGGTTTCCCTCAGCTTGACTAAACTTTTAGACAGGCTTCTTCCTGACTCTAGGCCCTGACCTTCCTTTTCTTAGAGCACTTACCTTTGAAATTTTCTCTGCCTCTTTGAGATGCAAATCTTCTTAAAAGCCTATTGCCAATTTTACAACCCAAGGATGTTTTTCTCAAGGACCTGAGAGTCATCTCATTGGAATCTAATCCTCAAGAAAGACAGAGCACCTATCTCCCAGTCTCTGGGGGACAGTAGGATTCTAACTGTGATGGTTACCTTGCTCCAAGCTATAAAACTAGATGCTGTCACAAATTTAAAAGAAAGTTTACTTTTCCTTTGGATAAAGACAATTAACAAACTCAGCTGGTCTATGATTCCCTGACCCTAGCTTTTAAAAACTTTCCTGTTCTTTGTTTTAGCAAAATTGAACCCAGAGTTCTCATCTTTATCTCTATTGTAATAACCATAAATAAATTTTTTCTTGCCTGTTTAAATTTGTCTGGTGCATGTTTTGCTTTGAACAACAGCATCAGATAATACCTGAAAAAAAATGTCCAAATACTGCAATTTCAATTCTTTATAAATCAACGTTCGGTAAATTTTTGTATTTGCCAATTAGCATTACTTTTGCAGCATTCCTTACCTTCAGAACTAGTCACCAGGTAGCAGCTTGGACACATCACTGAAATTAGAGACTCATCAAAGAGTCATAATGGCTCTTAAAGGCAATGTTTATCTCAATAATCACATGGGGATCAGTGTTTATGAAGGAAGACAGCAAACCCAGTGACCCTGAACCCCTTTGTAAGTATAGGTGAACCTCCTGATAAAAATTTCACAGCTACTGAAATTATTACAAAGTGCTGAAAAATTTTCATATTTTATACTGTTTTTATCCAAGCCTGCAATATTCATTGTCTTTTACAATCAGAGCATATGAGTGGCTGGACCAAAAGTTTCATGGCACACCACCATGAGCCAGATGGTGGAATGGTACATTTCCTCTCATTTACATCAGTTAGAGAAGTTGTCGGTAAATTCTTAAAAAATCTCTAATGTTTTCCTCATGACTCAACTCTGTATCAATGAATTTAACTGCATCATTTAGCTAAAAATCAGAATACTCCGTAGCCGTACATAGTCTGAATTTAACTGATAGGTTTGAGAAGTCCAATCTTTGTCCTAAAAGAGATTATTAAATTGCTTAATTATGTAGTTCTTAAGGTTTTGGGAACCACAGACACCCTGAAGATGTAATCAAGCTATTTTCTTTTTGGCCACGGTAGGAACGATTTTTAATATTTCACATGAAAAATCTGCTTTAAGAATTCAGAACAAGGAAAAATCATTCTTCCATGTGAACAGCTATGCTTCCTTCTCTCAGGGATTGTAGGTGGCTTATCCATGGACTCCTTTGTACTGGAAGCCAGTGTCATCTGGGTCCCTACAAACAGGAGGCATAGCTCCCCAGTCAGGGCCACCTGGGAGAACACTAAGGAAAGTCAGGGGGCAGAAGGGGCAGGGGCAGCATAGGCCTGAGCCCTTATTGTGTTTTAGTTTTGGAGGCGAGGAGTCCAAGATCCAGCTGTCAGCTTGGTCAGGCTCTGGAGAGGGCCTTCTTCACCACCATATTACATGTCCACAAAATATTAGGGAATTCAGATTCCCCTTACAGCCCCTCCTTTTATCCTGGTTAAATATCCCCAAATAAAAGCCCCTTATAAATTGGTATACATTATGGGATTTAGCAAGGTTAAATAACTTTACATTAGATTTTTAATTAGTTTTAGCATTAGAACCAGAAGACTGTCTCAGAACGTTAGTGAATCCTAAATTGTGCACTTTCTAATTTCATACCATCTACAATAAGTTTAAATATCAACTGGCTTACTTTAAAGCTTTCACAGTACATAACACAATATAAATTGAATATGATATATGATTTAATTTATATTGTTATAACTTCATAAACTTGGAATACAACTTTTTATCAGTGTCTGTTTGTTTTCTCCAGAAACTTAACTCTCCATTGCCTCTACTTAAATGATGTTTCCTTCACTTTCCTGATCATTTTGATTTTTCTCTGACACCATAGTTTCATTTTTCTAGGTCTCTGTGAAATTTGGGTAAGGTGTCCAATAATTCACAAGCAGAGAGACACAAAAGTAAACTGTTTTTAATAATCTGCATTATATATTTAGAAACTATTAGCTTTAGAAGAAATAATAAAAATAACTGAAAGTTTAGAAAGAATCAAAATGAGGGGAGATTGGAAAGCCTTCTTGATATGACTTAGATTGTATGTTTCAGAACTTGTCTTCCTCTTTCAAATATGACTTTCTGAAATGAATAGTGCATCACATTTGATTAGCTTCTCCTCTACTCTTCTGAGACAACCTTTACCTTTAATTTTTAAAAGTTTCTTGCAAAGCACTAGCACTTTAACCTTTAATTTGCATTTTAATTTTTTAAATATTAATTTGTCATCTCTAGATGTTTTCAGCAGGGGAATTTAACAACAAAGATAAAACACATATTCTTTATTAATACGTGTTTTCTATTCTGTCCTTTGAAGTGAGATTGATGTGCTATGGAAGGTCATGCATGCAAAGCTCCAATACTTTACTTGTGACATACGCAGCCAACGTTGATTTGATGAAGCTGGTGGGTAAGAACCTCAAGAACAAAATTTCCAAGTACCTGAATTTGATCTTTTAAATTGTTGAGCCAGGATAAGTAGCTATAAAATTTGCATTGGATTTCAAATAATTTTCAATATTAATAAAAAGATAAAACTGCAAATAATGAAATCATATGAGGAATAATAGCTCCTGAGGAAATTAATTTTACTGAACCAGGAACATGGTATTTATTTTGGAAAATAAAAATGACACCTGTATTTGAAAAAAAAAAAAAAAGAAAGAAAAGCTTGGGAATTTTGAGTAAACAACATTGATCTAAAGAACTATATAGGAATAAAGTAAATATATTTGTCCATTTGGATATTTTGTACCTAAAATGAACACGGTATTTGAAATCATTTCTATTGTCAAGACTAATCAGTATGGAATAAAGACAAAGAAAAACATTAGAAGCAGGCCAGCCTTCCTTGGATGCTTTTTTTGAGCTCATATGTTTAACTGTGATTGCCCTACCACTAGGTGTTCATCCACAGGGGTGCAGGGTCATATAGTCTACACATCTTTACCACACAGTCAAAGGAATAAGTGATGAAAAATGAGTTGGATTTCTAAATTTACGAGCCTGAACTTTTTTCCTGTTAATGGGCATATAAAGAATGCATTTGAACTCCTAGATATCCTGGTTACTATGACTACATAACAACCCACTGTAAATATTAGTGGCTTAAAATATCAACAACTTAGTTTGTTCACGTATCTTCAATTTGGGAAATATTTCACAGGTGCAGTTTGCCTCTCTTTCACAGAGTGTCAAGTGGGATGGTTCAAAAGCAGAGGCTAAAGTCACCTGAAAGCTCACTCACATGTCTAACAGTTGATGGGAGGAGAGCCAAAATAGCCGGAGATTGGAACAATAGAACAATTGGGGTTCCTTGGACAGTTCGGTCTTCCTGTGTTTTTTTCCATGAGTTATCTGCAGCATGGATGACTCAGGTAACCAGAGTTCTTTCTTTCTTTTTTTTTTTTTTTTATCATTTCTTTCTTTTTATTTTTTATTTTTAAAAATTTTTTTACTATACTTTAAGTTCTAGGGTACATGTGCACAACGTGCAGGTTTGTTACATAAGTATACATGTGCCATGTTGGTGTGCGGCACCTGTTAACTCGTCATTTACATGAGGTATATCTCCTAATGCTATCCCTCCCCCCCTCCCCCCACCCCAGGACAGGCCCCCAAACACCACATGTTCTCACTCATAGGTGGGAATTGAACAATGAGAACACTTCGACACAGGGTGGGGAACGTAACCAGAGTTCTTACATGTTGGCTCAGGGGTTCCATAAAGCTTGTTCAGAGAGAGCCGGATGAAATGTGTATTGCCTTCGCAGACCTAGTCTTGGAAGTCATCTAGCATTAGTTCCTCTATATTATATTGGTCTACACAATTAAAAAGGAGAGCAAACTTAGGCTCTTATCTCTAAATAGAGGGATGTTAATGTTGTATTTCAAGCATTTAGGATAGGATGTATATTGGTATATCAAACTTTGGAAAATACAATTGCTGTATAAATGATACAGCTCACTTACTTTAGCTTTAAAGTTATTTGTTTTTAGCAATAGGTTTAATATTACAATATTGCTGCTTGGAGGAGTCATGGGAATTTTTTTTAAAGCTACTGAGCCCTTCATGTATACCAGGTGCTGTGATAAGTGCAGCATCTCATGTTATGCCCTCAATAACTTTATGAGATAGTTACTAATGTTCTTCTTATTTTTCAGATGATAAACCAAAGATTTAGCAGGGTAGATAATTTTCCACAGATGTACGGTGGATGCACACTTTGAATTCATATGTGACTGCTGAGTAATTGCTCTTAATTGCTCAGCCACACCAATACTGGTCCCTCAATTTAGGAAAACACATTTCAGAAATAAGGTGATTTACTCAAGATCACACAGCTCCGTGGTCATTGACCTGGGACTAATGTTTAAAGATCTCTGAATCCCTGTCTACACAAGGCTGTTTTTTAATGAATTAAGTAGAACTAAAAATCCTTGAAGGTTTATTTGCAAGAATTTTTTATAAGGTGACATAATATTTAAATGGATCAGAGTAGGGCCAGAGTTTACTCTGGATAATAAGCTAGGCAGGCTGCCAGATCCCCGATGATCAATTCTCTTGATGGAAACGCTCACAAAATTGTTCTTGTTACAAAGACTCATAGTATCTGTGCTAATACATAATAATGTACCCATGTTACCTCCAGGTAGTGCCCTCAGTCTTCAAGAAAGTCATAGGATGACCTCCAGCCAATGAATAAACTCAGTGCTAGGTATATATACAGACACTCTTGGCCACTTTTCATGCTTCTGACCTTTTTTTTTTTTCTTTTCTGTCTCACTTCAGCTATATAAGGTCTTTGTGGTCCTTCTTTTCTTCTATGAAAATTAGATTTCAATTAAAAAAAGAAGACTCAGTAGTTTTAAAACTGAATATGTCTATTGAGTTTCAAAACAAACTCATTTAAGATAAAAGATGTAACTCAATTTTTAAAATACAAAAACAAATTCTGAATTGTAAAGCAATATGCCAAATAAAATTAAAGACAAATTAAAGATTTTATCTTGAGACTTTTGGACTAAAAATGGTGTTTTCTCCATTCTTCAATTTCATTCCTTTTATGTAGAATAAATATGCCTTGTTTTCTCCAGGATAGTTCCGATTCATCCCTGTTGTCCTGATGTCATTATTACTGGTGTGCTTTTTGACTCTGAGAAATGTTTTAGTTTGAATGAGAAATTCATCCTTCCTTGGTGCTTCTGGAAAAAAAAGCTGAAGCCATAAGTTCCCCTCGCTCCATTCTCCACAAGACGTTAACTTCATTAATATCTTGACTAATCTCTGATTGGGTGAAATACTTTTCTTTTTGTAAAGGAAGTTTAGGCATTACTGTGTGTGTGTGTGTTTTTGTGTGTGTGTGTGTGTGTGTGTGTGTATGTACAAGCAAGCTTGTCTCCTTTAGGAATTTGTAATTGTTTCTATGATCTCAAAAGCCGAGGAGGTGGAGACAGATCCTGGGCCCCTGTTAGATCCAGTCTGACCCTCAAATTCATCTCATGCTTGTCTCAAGCTTAATTTTAAAAACACTTGGCCAATCTGGTTTAGGTAGGATTTTTATTGGTGCAAATCATGAAATATTGGCTCAATTTTACCCAAACCAACAAAGGAGTTTATTACATAAATAAGAAGCTCAAAGGAAGAGAAAGAGGTCTCCTGAGGCACCTTTGGAAACAGAGCCTCAAACAGTGTCATTAGCACATGGTCTGTCTATTTCTTTTAATCTGTCTCTCTTTGTCTGTCTCTCCATGAATATGTTTCCTCCTGTCTCTCTCCTTTCTCTTCCCTATTCGTTGTACTTTTCTCTGTATAATTTTCATTCTTCTCAAGCAGTTTTCCCTGTAGTGACTAACAACTCAGAAGAAGCTCCAGCCTTACGTTATACCAGAGAATAAAGTGATGTTTCTTTACCATTAATACTGACAAAAGGTGGGGCTGGCCAGGCATGGTGGCTCATGCCTGTAATCTCAACACTTTGGAAGGCCAAGGTAGCAGGAGTGCTTGAGGCCAGGAATTCAAGACCAGCCTGGGGAACATAGTGAGATCCCATCTCTAAAATAAAAAAAAATAATTGAATACCCTTTATTTCCTTCTCCTGCCTAATTGCCCTGGCCAGAACTTCCAACACTATGTTGAACAGGAGTGGTGAGAGAGGGCATCCCTGTCTTGTGCCAGTTTTCAAAGGGAATGCTTCCAGTTTTTGCCCATTCAGTATGATATTGGCTGTGGGTGTGTCATAGATAGCTCTTATTATTTTGAGATACGTCCCATCAATACCTAATTTATTGAGAATTTTTAGCATGAAGGTTGTTGAATTTTGTCAAAGGCCTTTTCTGCATCTATTGAGATAATCATGTGTTTTTTGTCTTTGGTTCTGTTTATATGCTGGATTACATTTATTGATTTGTGTATATCGAACCAGCCTTGCATCCCAGGGATGAAGCCCACTTGATCATGGTGGATAAGCTTTTTGATGTGCTGCTGGATTCGGTTTGCCAGTATTTTATTGAGGATTTTTACATCAAAGTTCATCAAGGATATTGGTCTAAAATTCTCTTTTTTGGTTGTGTCTCTGCCAGGCTTCGGTATCAGGATGATGCTGGCCTCATAAAATGAGTCAGGGAGGATTCCCTCTTTTTCTATTGATTGGAATAGTTTCAGAAGGAATGGTACCAGTTCCTCCTTGTACCTCTGGTAGAATTCGGCTGTGAATCCATCTGGTCCTGGACTCTTTTTGGTTGGTAAGCTATTGATTATTGCCTCAATTTCAGAGCCTGTTATTGGTCTATTCAGAGATTCAACTTCTTCCTGGTTTAGTCTTGGGAGGGTGTATGTGTTGAGGAATTTATCCATTTCTTCTAGATTTTCTAGTTCATTTGCGTAGAGGTGTTTGTAGTATTCTCTGATGGTAGTTTGTATCTCTGTGGGATCGGTGGTGATATCCCCTTCATCATTTGTTATTGCATCTATTTGATTCTTCTCTCTTTTCTTCTTTATTAGTCTTGCTAGTGGTCTATCAATTTTGTTGATCCTTTCAAAAAACCAGCTCCTGGATTCATTAATTTTTTGAAGGGTTTTTTGTGTCTCTATTTCCTTCAGTTCTGCTCTGATTTTAGTTATTTCTTGCCTTCTGCTAGCTTTTGAATGTGTTTGCTCTTGCTTTTCTAGTTCTTTTAATTGTGAAGTTAGGGTGTCAATTTTGGATCTTTCCTGCTTTCTCTTGTGGGCATTTAGTGCTATAAATTTCCCTCTACACACTGCTTTGAATCTGTCCCAGAGATTCTGGTATGTTGTTTCTTTGTTCTCGTTGGTTTAAAGAGGAAGTCAAATTGTCCCTGTTTGCAGATGACATGATTGTATATCTAGAAAACCCCATTGTCTCAGCCCAAAATCTCCTTAAGCTGATAAGCAACTTCAGCAAAGTCTCAGGATACAAAATCAATGTACAAAAATTGCAAGCATTCTTATACACCAATAACAGACAAACAGAGAGCCAAATCATGAGTGAACTCCCATTCACAATTGCTTCAAAGACAATAAAATACCTAGGAATCCAACTTACAAGGGATGTGAAGGACCTCTTCAAGGAGAACTACAAACCACTGCTCAGTGAAATAAAAGAGGGTACAAAGAAATGGAAGAACATTCCATGCTCATGGGTAGGAAGAATCAATATTGTGAAAATGGCCATACTGCCTAAGGTAATTTATAGATTCAATGCCATCCCCATCAAGCTACCAATGCCTTTCTTCACAGAATTGGAAAAAACTACTTTAAAGTTCATATGGAACTAAAAAAGAGCCCGCATCGCCAAGTCAATCCTAAGCCAAAAGAACAAAGCTGGAGGCATCACGCTACCTGACTTCAAACTATACTACAAGGCTACAGTAACCAAAACAGCATGGTACTGGTACCAAAACAGAGATATAGATCAATGGAACAGAACAGAGCCCTCAGAAATAATGCCGCATATCTACAACTATCTGATCTTTGACAAACCTGAGAAAAACAAGCAATGGGGAAAGGATTCCCTATTTAATAAATGGTGCTGGGAAAACTGGCTAGCCATATGTAGAAAGCTGAAACTGGATCCCTTCCTTACACCTTATACAAAAATTAATGCAAGATGGATTAAAGACTTACATGTTAGACCTAAAACCATAAAAACCCAAGAAGAAAACCTAGGCATTACCATTCAGGACATAGGCATGGGCAAGGACTTCATGTCTAAAACACCAAAAGCAATGGCAACAAAAGCCAAAATTGACAAATGGAATCTAATTAAACTCAAGAGCTTCTGCACAGCAAAAGAAATTACCATCAGAGTGAACAGGCAACCTACAAAATGGGAGAAAATTTTCGCAACCTACTCATCTGACAAAGGGCTAATATCCAGAATCTACAAGGAACTCAAACAAATTTACAAGAAAAAAACAAACAGCCCCATCAAAAAGTGGGCAAAGAACATGAACAGACACTTCTCAAAAGAAGACATTTATGCAGCCAAAAAACACATGAAAAAATGCTCAACATCACTGGCCATCAGAGAAATGCAAATCAAAACCACAATGAGATACCATCTCACACCAGTTAGAATGGCAATCATTAAAAAGTCAGGAAACAACAGGTGCTGGAGAGGATGTGGAGAAATAGGAACACTTTTACACTGTTGGTGGGACTGTAAACTAGTTCAACCATTGTGGAAGTCAGTGTGGCGATTCCTCAGGGATCTAGAACTAGAAATACCATTTGACCCAGCAATCCCATTACTGGGTATATACCCAAAGGATTATAAATCATGCTGCTATAAAGACACATGCACACGTATGTTTATTGCGGCACTATTCACAATAGCAAAGACTTGGAACCAACACAAATGTCCAACAATGATAGACTGGATTAAGAAAATGTGGCACATATACACCATGGAATATTATGCAGCCATAAAAAATGGTGAGTTCATGTCCTTTGTAGGGACATGGATGAAATTGGAAATCATCATTCTCAGTAAACTATTGCAAGAACAAAAAACCAAACACCGCATGTTCTCACTCATAGGTGGGAATTGAACAATGAGAACACATGGACACAGGAAGGGGAACATCACACTCTGGGGACTGTTGCGGGGTGGGGGAGGGGGGAGGGATAGCATTAGGAGATATACCTAATGCTAAATGACGAGTTAATGGGTGCAGCACACCCATACATAGCATTAATGGGTGCAGCACACCCACACATAGCATGGCACATGTATACATATGTAACTAACCTGCACATTGTGCAGATGTACCCTAAAACTTAAAGTATAATAAAATAAAATAAAATAAAATAAAAATAAAATAAAATAAAAAATGGAGGCTGATTCTTATTGAGATAGTTTAGGCTACATGCTCATTTCCAAACCAATTATTGTGGCCAGGAGTAGAGATATTCCAATTTGGCAATCTTAGTCATCATGATATGTTTATCCTCATATCAGTAAAGTGGTATTATTTATAGTCCAAAGACACAGATAGAGGATAGGAGAACAGTCCTTCTCTAAAGGAAAAAAAAAAAGTGGTAAAGGGGGGAATGGGTGCTGAAAAACAAAACACCCAGCTATGTATTGTCCTACTTCTTTGTGCAAGTTAAAAATGTACATGCATTAAGTGAAATATAGTTTCTGCAATAAGAAGAGTGTTATTTTCCCACAAATCAAGCAAACTGACCTCCATCATAGCCAGTTACATTAAAAAAAATTGTATTCCCATGCATCCTCGTATATATGGCTGCACCTTTGTGATCTCATTTATTCCAAATATCCAGCATATGCCACTTCAATTTTGTGCAGATTTTTAATTCATTTGGGGATATTATTCTGTCATCACTCTCTAAGGACTGCGGCTATGGTTAGGAAATGCTCATTTTTTGCTTTGTCTTATGGAGTACATCTAGGTCAGAACAGATTGGCTTATGTAGGACACCAATAATGATTCCAAGTTCAGGATTGTGCCTTCACTAAAGCCTGAGCCATCCCCTCATCCTTATTTTATCCTGTACCCTGCTCTACCAGCTTCTTGCACAGTGGTGGGTGAGTACTACAAGTATGTTGAATGGTACATTTCTAGTCTTAAATTATAACATGTCATCTTAATAAAACAAGTAATTGAAAAGAAGACACAGTATCCTAAAAACCAGTGTTTTAATATACAGGAAGAAACAAGTCGTGACACCAGGAATTCAGATGTTTTCTGTTAGATAAATTAATAAAGAATTCAAAGCAGCTTGACTTATTTATGATACAAAAATTTATTAAGCGCCTCCTTGTGCGAGTCCCATATTACCTAATGTTGACTGCAAGGGGTCTCTAGTCTCAGAGCATAGTGTGTTTACTGAGGCACATGACAGAGAAAATCAATGTATGCATGAATGATGTTGTCAATCAGAGGTGAACATCATCAGAATGACAGAGGTTTTTATCAAAATTCACATTCCTAGAGGCAGTTCCTGAAGATTGGGAAGGTGTGTAGTGGAACCTGAGTTGTACAGACTTCTAAAGCTTATTCTCAGGTGTTTTTTGGCAGGAATGCCAGACTAACTCTGGATATTTTATTAAAAGATTTTTTATTAAAAGGATCCCTCAAGTCCTTTCTAACCCCATATCTTTGAGTAAATATTAAGATGCTCTACTCAAACCTGCAGTCGAGTAGAGATGTAAAAAATGGTTAAGATGTATCACTAAAAATTTTACCCAATTTTATTCCCACTGTTTGCAGAATAGTAAAAAATGCCTGCAATTTTGTAGAATTCATAGAATCTTTTTTTTTTTGGAAATGAAACACATGAAACTATGTAGATAAAGAAGAGTGGTAGAGAAGAATGGTAGTTAACTCTCCTATTGTGTTATGTTGCAAATTAATTTACAGGTTTATATTTGTTGTATGTGTAAATGTGATTCTAATATATTTCCCGATGTTATTGTTATGACTGTACATTAATCAGGAAACTATTTAATAGTCATTAAAACACCGTTATTGTCTAGGGAAGTTACAATAACCTGTCATTGGAATACATATCTCTCCTCCTTTTTCTCTTTTTATTTAAAAGTGACAGAAACCCAAGTGATTTTTTAAAAAGGAAATTTATTAATTCATGTAATGCAAAACCACAAGAATTAAGGGAAGCAATGCACTCTTTCTTTCTGTCTCCATATGAAGTGGGAGGATGGGAGAAAATATCTATGGTTAACCCCAAGCTTGTATTACTATAATTTAGCAGTCTCATAGAGGAGAAACTTATTTTTCCGATTCAATATATGTAAACTCAAGAAAGAACAGCTAGCTTCTGTGATAAACCCAATCATTGGGGCTGTTTACCATGGCCTTTGCGTATGATACTATGATTAGAAGCTCTACTAGAATGACGTGGAATTTAATGGGGAGAAGCAGTTCTAAAGAAACATGCATGTGTGTGTGCTTCTGTGTGTAATTGGGCAAAGAGTTAAGGTGGGAGTTGCTTCTAACAGAAGGAGAAAATGGGTGTTAAGTAGAATAAATCAACAGATGTCCACTACATATTCCCTGAGTACTAATTTTCCAAACAATGAATGCATCCTGGCAGAAGGTTTAGACTCAGAAGTTAAGATTCTTCAGCAAAAACTTTGTTCCCTCGGGTGGTATTTTAGAAAGCCTACAGAATTCATAGGAAAATATTGGCTTAATTTTATTTTTTTAAAAAAGATCTATGGACAACAAGACAAAATAGTGTATAGAAATCTAATACTTCATTTAGTCATGTTAAAAGTATATCCAAGGTTTTTTTTTATTAATAGTTTTCCATTTGTCACCAGCACAGCCTCAAATGATATTAGTGCTATCATTGCTTGTTTTTGATCTCAAATACATGGTATAATATCATCTTCATGCTGTCCAGCTTCATCACAATATTCCATTATGAGAATGGAAAGCCTTGTAATGAGAAACTTTCATCTTTTCGTTTTTCTCGTCCTTCTCTTTCTCCTTCATATTTGAAATCTGCCCTCTTCAATATGTGCAAACAAATTTAATATTTCTCAAATAGCAAATAGAACACACTTTTCTTAATATTCTCACCCTCAAGAACATCACACATAAAAATGACTTATGCCTTTTATATTTGCCCATTTTTAACAATATTCTAAATCCCCTGAAATCAATGTGCATTTCATACTTGATATCAAAGAAAATTTGCTAGCCTATTTTTTATTACCTTTTCTTGAAAAACCCTAAGGCATATAATGGCTCAAACTGATGGCATTCTAATAACAGAGTAATATGGAATTAACTTTCACAGAAAGAAAGAAGCTGAACAAATACATGTTACATCAGAACAGCATTAGATTGCCTAGGTTAAATCCTGGTTTTGCTTCTTATGAGTTGTTTGTCTTGGAGCGAATTATTTTGACTTTCTGTGCCTCAGTTTTCTCATCTGTAAAATAGCAATTCTATAATTATTTATATTATGGAATTGTTGTCAGAATTAAATTAGTAATGAATTACATTATTATTTAGAATAGTACCTGGCAAGGGATAAATATTATATGTGTATTAATTATTATATATATAATTTTTAATGTAATTATTAAAATTCTTATTACAGTTAGGTTATTAATATTCTTATTCACAGTACTTTCAATCTGCAAATAAAACATTTACAAAGCAATAGAAGAAGTAGATTCCAATTCTCAGAATAGTGAGAGTTGGACATTTACATCATCTATTTGTAAATGTGTAATCTAGAGTGGACTGATCATACATTGTCCGAAAAGGCACATTTTAGTTTTTTTATTTAAAAAAAAATACAATAAACTAAGAGTCTGATATTATAAGAAGTGACATTTGTTAACTGAAGTTATTGTGCTTCACGTTGACTTCTGATGAGCTCCAGTTCCAGAAAGGGCTCTAAGTTTTCTAATTTTTCTAGTGTTACTTGTGTAAGAGCAGGTACTTGCTGTAAATCTTTCCCTTAAGTCAAACAACCTTGATGTTACCATGCTCCAATTGTCCTACACATGCATTCTGAATCATCCTTTCCCTTTGGTGTTAATATATAAACCTTGGGTCTGTGGGGTTATAGTGCATTGACCCACTATCTTGCGCATCTTACTGCTCCCTGAGACACGTATGTGGCTTCTGTTTGTAATTCCCCATTAAATGTTTATTCCTAAGAAACTGGATTTGCTAGCCTCTTTCTTCCACCTGTCAGCTTCCTTGAACTTTAGGGGAAGGTTTACATAGGCCTACCTACCACTGAACAGTGATTTTATAAGTCAAGGACTGTCAAACACATGTTCATATATGTGTTTACATGTAATATATACTCAGAAAAAGTGAGAGTATTTTTGTGTGTCTTAATACCTAGCAATGTTGTATGGCATAAACTTAGCATGAAAAGGGGGAAATATCTACCACATACAACACTCAACACACAACCAGGCAGACTTTAAAATAGAGCAAAGCAGAGAGAATAAAGGTTTTTTGACAGATAATTTCACAAATAAGGTGCTTATTTAATATCCATATTTGAGTACTAGACCCCATTATCTATATTTGATGCTGCCTTCTACCCATGATAGTACTTCAAAAAATTTATAATTTTGGATTTTGAGAATATGTGTAAAGAATTTATGAAGAGCAAGGTAATAATTCTATATTAAAACCATGATCTATATTTTACTGAGCTATCAAGGATATATAGTAAATTTTGGCATCAGTCTTCAGTTCCTCCTCACTAAGGATTTCATGATAACCCTTTACCTGTATGACTAAGGAAACAGTTCTCACCTGAACTAGTTATCTTATTTTTCCTCTTGTGTACCCTATATTGCTGGGTTCAATACAATCTTATCTAAATTATCTGCTTCTTTTTTCTATGTTCTTAATTAGAGGCAGAATATTAATGTTGTATTGCAGAATTTGGCTGGATCTTCACAGATCTTGATAATTTGTCATACTTCAGAACACAAATATAAGGGTTTTAGTACAGTATCTTTTAAAATTGATTTCCAAAGAAGAGTCACCTTTCTTTCAATGGATGTTTCAAAATACTGGCAGATTGCCTTCCTGCTGATCTCAAACACATCTGCATGAAGCTTCGGCTCTTTGCCCTTGAGTGATCTCTCTGTTCTATTAGCATCTGGGTGTTTCCGTCTGACTGGCATCATTAGCATACAGAGATCATGACAGTCCTGTTCACAAACCTTTTTGGTGGGAGGAGTAATTTCATGCTTGAAGATGGCATTGAAAGGGTTTCTCATGACACTTTTTAAGTAATAATATTAACATTTCTTCAGTTCATAATTATCATGACTTATTCATGTTAATATTTCATGAGATATACCTATTAAAGCATATAAAATAAAGGGAAGAATATCATAATTTAATGGAACACATGCCATGAACTTCTAATGACCAGAGTCATTGAAGAATACCAGTTAAGACAGCCAATTAAAATATTTAGAATTTGCATAACTATATCCACATCAGGTGGATGTCAGATTAGCCATTAAACATCAAATAGGTGTTTAGTTGGTAATGTACAAATTTGGTGACTTGAGTTACTTGACTGATACAAATTGGAAAATAGAAAAGGAAATGGAGATTTTTTTTAACCTGGTGGCAGCATTAGGGGACTAGCATACCATCAGAAACTGTATCAACACATGTAAGTCCATGATTGTATTTGCATGTGAGGTGCAAATGAGGGAACCTGTAAATCTATTAATATTTTTGAAGGGGTTTATTACCAAGGGATGTTTAGAAACCACTCTGATTTGAGTAGTTCTGTGGCCAATAAAATAGAGAAAGAGTGAACATCAGGAAAAGTCACTTTGAAAGTATATATGAGTTGCATAATGAAGCCAACAAAATAGTTGATTTATGCACATAATAAAATAAATCAATATACTTACATATGAACAAATTAATAATCTGGTGTCTGTTGAATATTGTATTAACTTTTAAATTTTCACCAGACTGGTATATGATATGGTTTGGCTGTGTTCCTACCCAAATCTCAACTTGAATTCTATCTCCCAGAATTCCCACATGTTGTGGGAGGGACCCAGGGGGAGGTAATCGAATCATAAGGGCTGGTCTTTATGTGCTATTCAGGTGATAGTGAATAAGTCTCATGAGATCTGATAGGTTTATCAGGTGTTTCTGCTTTTGCTTCTTCCTCATTTTTCTCTTGCCACAACCATGTAAAAAGTGCCTTTTGCCTACTGCCATGATTCCAAGGCATCCCCAACCATGTGGAACTGTAAATCCAATTAAACCTGTTTTTGTTCCCAGTTTCAGGTATGTCTTTATCAGCAGAATGAAAACGAACTAATACAGTAAGTTGGTACCAGTAGAGTGGGGCATTGCTGAAAAGATACCTGAAAATGTGGAAGTCACTCTGGAACTGAGTTAACCGGTAGAAGCTGGAACAGTTTGGAGGGCTCAGAAGAAGACAGGAAAATGGGAGAGTTGGAACCCCCTAAAGACTTGTTGAATGGCTTTGACAAAAATGCTGATAGTGATATAAAGAATAAGGTCCAGGCTGAGGTGGTCTCAGATGCAGATGAGAGACTTGCTGGGAACTGAAGCAAAGGTGATTCTTGCTATGTGTTAGCAAAAAGACTGGCGGCATTTTGCTCCTGCCCTAGAGATTTGCGGAACTTTGAAATTGAGAGAGATGATTTAGTGTATCTGGCGGAAGAAATTTCTAAGCAGCAAAGCATTCAAAAGGTTACTTGGGTGCTGTTAAAAGCATTCCCTTTTAAAAAGGAAACAGAGCATAAAAGTTCAGAAAATGTGCAGCCTCACAATGCAGTAGAAGAGAAAAACCTATTTTTTGAGGAAAAATTCAAGCCCACTGCAGAAATTTGTATAAGTAACAAGGAGCCTAATGTTAATCCCCAAGACCACGGGGACCATGTCTCCAGGCCATGTCAGAAACCTTCACGGCAGCCCATGCCATCGCAGGCCCAGACAACCAGGAGTAAAAAGTGGTTTTTCAGCTGAACCCAGTGTCTGCATGCTTTGTGCAGCCTGGGAACTTGGTGCCCTGTGTCCCAGCTGCTCCAGCCATGGCTGAAAGGGGCCAACATACAGCTTGGGCTGTGGCTTCAGAGGGTGGAAGCCCCAAGCTTTGGCAGTTTCCCTGTGGTGTTGAGCCTGCGGGTGCACAGAAGTCAAGAATTGAGGTTTGGGAACCTCTACCTGGATTTCAGAAGATGTAAAGAAACACCTGAATGCCCAGGCAAAAGTTTGATGCAGGGGTGTGGCCCTCATACAGAACCTCTGCTAGGGCAGTGTAGAAGGTAAATGTGAGACTGGAGCCCCCACACAGAGTCCCCACTGGGGCACTGCCTAGTGGAGCCATGAGAAGAGGGCCACCATCCTCCAGACCCCAGAATGGTAGATCCACTGGCAGCTTGCACTGTGTGCCTGAAAGAGCCACAGACACTCAATGACAGCCCATGAAAGCAGCAAGGAGGGAGGCTGTACCTGCAAAGCCACAAGGCAGAGCTACCCAAGACCATGGAAACCCACCTCTTGCATCAGTGTGACCTGGATGTGAGACCTGGAGTCAAAGGAGATCATTTTGGAGCTCTAAAATTTGACTGCCCCACTGGATTTTGGACTTTCATGGGCCCTGTAAGCCCTTTGTTTTTGGCCAAGTTCTCCCAGTTGGAATGGCTATATTTACACAATACCCATACCCCCATTGTGTCTAGGAAGTAACTAGCTTGCTTTTGATTTTACAGACTCATAGGTGGAAGGGACTTGCCTTGTCTCAGATGAGACATTGGACAGTGGACTTTTGAGTTATGCTGAAATGAGTTAAGACTTTGGGGGACAGTTGTGAAGGCATGATTGGTTTTTAAATGTGAGGACATGAGATTTGGAGGGGCCAGGGTTGAAATGATATGATTTGGCTGTTTCCTCACCCAAATCTCAACTTGAATTGTATCTCCCAGAATTCCCATGTGTTGTGGGAGGGACTGAGGGGGAGGTAATTGAATCATGGGGCTGGTCTTTCCCATGCTATTCTTATGATAGTGAGTAAGTCTCACAAGATCTGATGGGTTTATCAGGTGTTTCTGCTTTTGCTTCTTCCTCATTTTTCTCTTGCCACCACCATGTAAGAAGTGCCTTTCACCTGCCACCATGATTCTGAGCCCCCCTGAGCCATGTGGAACTGTAAGTCCAATTAAACCTCTTTTTGTTCCCAGTTTTTGGTATGTCTTTATCAGCAGCGTGAAAATGAACTAATACAGTATGTAACAAGATATTTTAAAAACAAACAGACAAGTAAATAAATAAGTATATAAAATGTCACCAGGTAAGTTAAAAATTACTTTTAGTTCCAATAACAAAAAAAAGAAAAAAATATATTTTTTTTAATTTTTTTTTTTTCAGATGGAGTTTCACTCTTGTTGCCCAGGCTGGATTGCAATGGCATGATCTTGGCTGACTGTAATCTCTGCCTCCCAGGTTCAAGTGATTCTCCTGCCTCAGCCTCCTGAGTAGTTGGGATTACAGGAACCTGTCACCATGCCCAGCTAATATTTTTTGAATTTTTAGTAGCAACACAGTTTCACCACATTGGCCAGGCTGGTCTTGAACTCCTTACCTCAGGTAATCCTCCTGGCTTGGCCTCCCAAAATGCTGGGAATACAGGCATGAGACTCTGCGCCTGGCCAAAAATAATTCTATATGGTTTATTGGTTCCCCTAAATCGCTTTGTAGTCTAGCAACAATATTTAGAGTTTGGGAAGATTATTCATTCTAGACCTCAGTAATCACATATGGAAATGCAAAGAATGATGAGTAACCACCTTATATAGTTAATAGAAGTAAATGAATAAATGTATGTAAAATTATACTTAGGATAGCACTGAGAACTCGTGAAATTCACTATAAATATTAGCTAATGTTATTATGAATGAACAAGTTATGCTTTCCTCCTTAGGTCTTTGGAAAGTAGAGAGATTATTTCTATAATCTACAATTTATAAATCTGCTATTTAACAGTTCCAATGCAGTATTTGACTGAGTCTTGGAAGTCCTTAATAATTTCTCATACTTCAGAACACAAATAGAATTTTACAGCTTTCAGTCTGATTAAGAGTTCTAGTAAACAATAACTGGATTATCATTTATAATTCTATTTTTTCCTGTATCCCTTTTTTCCTTATAGGGCAAAATATTAAAAACATTTCCAAACTCGTAATTACTCAATTATTATTATTCATAGAAGACTCTATTCAACTTATAATTTTAAATTGTTAATAGCATGTTGTTCACTAAGAATTTATTAATACTACAATAGCCAATCAAGATAATTTTGGATGTTTTATTATTCCTATATATTAGGTGACAGAGGAGGAATATCAGTTTAGCATTATGTTTCCTTGAATATGAAAGTAGTACATGTCACTGTCTAGCAGATATTTCAGCAACTACAGAATAGAAATTTTTCTGTAATTTTGTCGTTACAGGAAAAGTTCTCCTAAAACCATGGACCCCTAAATCTTGTATAACTGATGTTAAAAACAAAGGAAGTGGGTCCTATTTGGCTGCCGAATCTCTACAATTTCCATATAGCATCTTCCACATCTTGCGATGGAATTTTGGCAATGGTTCAGAAAAATACTGGTTTGAGAAGGAAGCTATCTTTAAAATATTATATGCCCATAATGTTCCCAGTTCTACTTCCCCCAATTGATTTCCTCTCTTGATATAATACCATTTATTTTTCTGCCTATAATCATTCAATATTTATTGTTGCCACTCTTTCATGTTCTTGTTCATCTAGTTTTTTGGTTCATGTTTTATATTCTTCAAAAATGCTTATAGTTCTAGTCCGGAGATAATGTTTCTCTGTTTGTCCTCACATAGTACAACTATAAACACTGGAAATAGTGGAAGAGGCAATCACAGGTGAACTTTAAGAGATTTTGAGAGGAAGGAATACTGGTTGAGACCCAAGGAAGGACTTGGGGGAAATCACAGCAGTACTGTGTTTTATGTCCCCCCACCCAACAGAAGGAGGCAGTTAAAGTCCTGCACTTCTTTACCCAAACCTAATAAGAGAAGGCAGCAGAGGTAAGGTTGTTTTTCCCCCATATAAAAGGGAGAACTTCTGACAATACCAGGAAAGACCATGTGAAGAAAACAAGAAGACAAAAAGCAGATTTGGAGAAATATTTGCAAACCACGTATCCAACATAGGATTAGTGGCTGGAATACACAAAAATTTCTCAAAACTCCATAGTAAAAGAACCACGTATTCCCATTAGCAAATGAGCAAAAGACATGGCTATACCTTTCACTAAATAAGATATACAGATGGTAAATAATCGCATGAAAGGATGTTCAAGATCATTAGCCATCAGAGAAATGCAAATTAAAGTCACAAGGAGCTATCACTGCACCCTTCTCAGAATGACTAAAATAAAAAACAACAAATCCTGATAAGGATGGAGAGAAATAGTGTCACTCATACATTGCTGGTGAAAATGAATTTTGATTGTGTTTGTGGATACATTAATCTGTGTACACATGTAATAAAAGTCTATAGCACTAAATACACATGCATACATCCAAGCAAAAGTAAAAGAGGAGAAACCTGAGTAAGACTAGTGGATTGTATCAAAGTCGATCTCTTGGTTATGATATTATACTATACTTTTGTACAATGTTATATTTAGGGGAATATGGTAAAGTAAATGGTAGATAAGATATATTCCTATTATTTCTTATAACTGCATGTGAATCTAAAATTATACCAATACAAATTTTATTTAAAATGGCTATTTTGTCAGCTGTAGTGGTACACATCTGTAGTCTTCTCAGCTACTCCAGAGGCTGATGTGAGAGGATAATTTGAGCCAGGAATTCTAGTCCAATATGGGCAACATAGAAAGACCCTGTCTCTAAAAGGAAAAAACAAAAACAAAAACAAAAAAATCCCACTATTTTTTAAATAGAGACTGCTGTGGCTTGAATATTGTTCCCCTCCAAAACTTATGTTGAACTATGACAGTATTGAGAGGTGGGGCTTTTAAGAGACGATTGGGCTCTGCCTTCATGAATAGATTAATCCATTCATTGATTAATGGTTTATTATGAGAGTGGCATTACTGGCTTTATCAGAGGAGAAAGAGAGACCTGAGATAGAACGCTTATTCCTGTCGCCATGTGATACCCTGTGTCAGCTCAGAACACTGCAGAGTCCCCACCAGTAGGAAAGCCCTCACCAGGCCCTCACCACTTGACCTTGGGCTTCTCAGCCTTCAAAACTGTAAGAAATAAATTTACTTTCTTTATAAACTACCTAGTTTCAAGTATTCTGTTATAAGCAACAGAAAACAGGTTAAGAGAAAGGCCCTGTATTTTCCTTGTTGAAATTATTTATAATTATTTTATAATTTATGTAGTTATTGTTTTGGGGGTTCAAAATGATTATTCAAAGGTAGGAAAGGACAAAATCAGCTTCATTCGAGTAATGTAAGGATAATTCAATATCATTGAAATATTAATACAGCTTATTTTATTTATAAATTATGGGAGAAAATTATTTTATTATTATAGTTTGAATCTCAGTGAACAAATTCTAATATGTGTGAAATGTAACTTACATCTACTTATTCATTTGTGATTTTTTTAAATTACCTTGAACATGTTTCGATATTTACATTCTACTTGATGGTAGAAATTTAATCTGAGTCATTCCAATTCTAAGTTCTTGGAAGTGGAGAGCAGAGTGAGCACTCTGTGTGTGACAGTGCTTACAGAGGAGGGGTAATATCTGGTTTTTGTTATCACAATACACTAAATCCTTGAATGTATGCATTATACCATCTTGCACTGTTTTTTAACTCAAAATAACTAACTGGTAGATCATCTTTTTTTTAACCTAGTACACAGTCTCTGAAGTTTCAGCTTCCTCTCAGTAAATGCCATTCTCCTCTCAAGGGTCAGAAAATATTTGGTTACATTCATTGCTCTCATGTTACTCTGGATCTAAATGAAATTTATGTAGCTTTTAAAGACCCTGTACTTCCTCAGGGCTATTGACGGGTAAATACGATATTATTCTACTATCGCTGAACTGGGTTGAGAACCAGTCTCAAATCTATTTGCAGAATCACGCCATATAATGCTCTCAGTATGCGTTTTCTATTGCTTTGTAAAAGAAAAAAAAATCAAGTCAAAAACTTAGTGGATTAAAATGACAAACACATATATCAACATTGATTCAGAAATCCAGGCCTTGCTGTTTCTGTGGTTCAAGTTTTCTTACAAGGTTACAAGCAAGGTGTTATGCAGGGCTGCAGTTATCTCAAGCCATCTTATGTGGTTGTTGGCTGATCTTGGCCAGAGACCAGTTTCTTTTCCTGTGAATTTCTCCATAGGACCACTCATCACATGATAGCACACTTTCTCCAATTTGATGAAACAGAAAAAGACTTTCTTTTTCTTTTTCTGAGATCCTCAGAAAAAGACTTTTTCTTTTCTGAGGATGACAGCAAGGTGGAAACCATAGTTTCAGAAATGACATGCTCTTAGTTGTGCCATATTCCATTTGACCAAAGGAAATTATAGGTCCAGCCAATGTTCAAGGGAATGGGATGACAGCAGGGCCTGACACTTGGTGGTGTGGACCTTTGGAGGCTATCTCACAGCATACCACCTACATGCTGTGTCTGCAGCTTGGCAAAGGGGAAATCTAAAGTTCCACTGCTCTCTCAAGAAAGGCCACAAACAAATATCCTCTACTCTGGAATAATCAGAACTCCAATGTCCTGCTACCCTGCAGCCTCCTCTCCCTCTTCACACATACACAAGTTGGACCAGGGATGGGGATAAGTCAGTGTACAGGAACACAATTCAGTGTTCCCTCTTATGTTTATGACTTCCTTTCTTCCTGCGAGTTTTTAGTTAACATGGAAGTGAGGTAGTTTGCCTTTTCATCTATTTTTAAAAATCTATTGTTTATGCCCTGGGTCCTTCAAGACTTGGACTTTTAAAACCCATGGGCATGGCATTGACTTTATTGATTTTCACATGCTGTTGTGTCCTCCTTTCTCTGAAGCTGTAAGCAGAGAACAACTTCGCTCCTGCTTAAATAAGAGAAATATCATGAAGTAATGTCAAGAGTGAAGGGAAAAATAAACCTAATAAAATGCATCAAATGTTTATCTTGCTATATAATTCTACAGAATAATATTATGGAATTCCAAAGAAAGGATTGTGAGATTTTAGAAAATATGCATGTATCTAGAAGAAAATTTACTAAAATATGGTAGTTTTCTACAGAAAAAAATCCTTTATTAATGTTATGTGTTATAATTACTTGCTAGACTATTCTCCTACAAAGCAGAAAGAAGCCTTAGCTTGTTGCTATCCTCATTGCTATTCAAAATTGTTTAGAAGGTTCTAGCTAACGCCATGGCAAAAAAAATATAAATTGTGTGGTAGAAGGATTAAATGTATCTTCACTTGCAGATGATATGACTGTGTATATAGAAAAGTAAAGAGACTATTAGAATACACAAGAACTTGTAAATGACATAGACATATATTTATATATACTTAAAGACCATTCTCTTAAATATGTATGTATGATTTGAAAGAATTATACATCCCTAGGGTTACTCAGCTATTCCAAAGCAGATTACTTGAATATATTAATATATAAATACGCTCATGGTTCATTACAGTTTGAAATCCTCTAGTGCATCAACAGAATAAGAAAAAAAAAAATAGAAAAAAAAAACCCGGAAACCAACAAAAAAACCCTAACCTTTTTGTCTTTTGTACATCAATACTTGTGTTCAGATGGTTGTTGAGTTCTTGTACCTCCTGGCCACTCCTAAAGGTCTTTTCCTTCTGTATTAAATTTGTGGGTTTTTTCTTCTCTTATTTTCTTATGGTCTTGCTTACATTCTTCCACTTCTTAAATACAGAGATTTTCCAAGTTTTGTTCCTTGGCTTTTTTTTCTCTCTTTTCATCATTGCTCCTATAGTGATCACTTTCAGTCTCATTTAGTCTCATACACTCACTACTTTAGTTTTCTTTTCTGTAAGTAAGCCTCAATAAGACCCCTCCCAAAGGTTTCTGCCCCACCACGTAGAATAGCCCAAGCATGTCATCAGAGCTCTGTATGACATGAACTCAAACTACACCTGTGTGATATGGAATACATAGCCTCATTTGCCTGGAAAAAAAATTAAAACAGGACTTAACTCAGTTTTTTTCCATGATTTCACGATTTCAGATAAGATCATAACTTACCTTTCAGTCACTCAAGTTTCCCTTATTGAAATCATTTTTGAATTTTTTTTTACCCTCTTTATTTTGCCTCTTTTATATTATTAAAATTGCTTGCCATCTTGTCATTTCTGCTATTTTCTTATTTTGGGTCCTCTAATTCTCATATAAGCTATTAAAAGATTTCGATTTTTTAGTTTGTTTTCAATATGTTTTTGTATCACCATTTAAGACCTCCAATTCATTTTGAATCTCATTGTCAAATTTGTCTTGCTTTGCAGACATTTAATTCCATCAGACATGCTAAAAAGAAAACAAAGAAATAAACAATTAAAAAAAGCTCAAATGAATTCCCTTCTTCTATAGATTATGTTTTGAGCACCTGAATCTGGAAATTAATGCCTTTTTAAGATATCCCCATTGTTCTTATATTTTCCAATTCTTATTTTCACAGTCTAAATTCTAGTCAAATTGAACTACTTGCTAGTCTCTCTATACAATCTGTCCTTCTCCCACTCAGAATTGGTTTGTAAGTCCACTCTATCTGCAATTTTATTTTTTATTGTAATATGCTATAATTTATTTACCTATTCTTCATTGCACAGCTTAAACACCATCTTTTTAGTGAAATGCCTGCCCAGTAGGAACCTCACCTTCCTCCGTGAACTCCACTAGCATTTTAACTATAATATTTTATGGCATTAATCTCATCTATTTTATATTGGAGTTATTTATATGCATTCAATTTCCTCCCTATTTGAACTTCAACTTCTTAAAGCCAGGACCTATGATTCAGTTCTTTTTATCCTCTTAGATTCAACAAATACTTTTCTTATAGTAGATATTGAAGGCTTATTGTTAACCGATTTTTAATAAAATTAATTAATTTAGACTAATTTCAACATTTGACTAAATTACTATAAAATTAACTCTGACAGATATCTCTTAATCCGGAAGGACTTTGGATTTAAAGTAAACACTATTTTCCCCCTATATAACAGCTTCCAGCTGAGAGTTTTATTGCTAATCTTAGTTCAGACTCTATTAGAAACTAAAATGTATTCTGAAAGCTTTGGAAGACAGAATATTTTATCTGTGGTCTTTCTTGTACTTGATTCTCAAGGTAGTTTAGCATCTAAAGTGTTTAGAACAAATAGAATAGGGGGATATAATCATGGAAGGAGTATTCTGTAAATTGCTATCAGGCCACACTCTTCTACCACATCTTGCTCATATTCTTAGTGAGGGTCCATTTCCTTAGAACTCTGGGAGTGAAGAATAAAAGAGTAAGTCTCCACTTTTTTCTCTCATGTAGTGAAAGGAAGCCATGATCTCCAAAGAAAGAAGACCATAGATGAATAAAGAACTCAAGGTTGATCTTAGATATAATATAGGAAAGCCATGCCTGTACCAAGACTTTACTAAGTCTTGATATAGAATTTGAGAACATTTTTAAAATTATGATAATCATCATAATTATTAGCATTTAATGAGTTCTTCTCTGACCAGGCATAGAATTGATCTAATTTAATACTCAGAGTAGCTTCATAAAAGTATTATTTTAGTCACTTTACATTGTTAAATCTTGGTATTCAAGGTAGTCAAACTATTCATGAGATTAAGTGCAGTAACTTAAACATATGTGTATTAGTCTGTTTTCCCACTGCTGATAAAGACATACCCAACACTGGGTGATTTACAAAAGAAAGAAGTTTTAATGGACTTATAATTCCACTTGGCTGGGGAGGCCTCATAATCATGGCAGAAGGGAAGGAGAAACAAGTCACGTCTTACATGGATGGCAGCAGGCAAAAAGAGAGCTTGTGGAGGGGAACACCTCTGTATAAAATCATCAGATCTCGTGAGACTTATTCACCATCAGGAGAACAGCACAAGAAAGACCCGCCCTCGTGATACAATTACCTCCCACTGGGTTCCTCCCACCACACATGAAAATTGTGGGAGTTACAATTCAAGGTGAGGTTAGAGTGAGGAAACAGCCAAACCATATCATTCTGCCCCTGGCCCCTCCCAAATCTCATGTCCTCACATATCAAAACCAATCATGCCTTCCCAACAGTCCTTCAAAGTCTTAACTCATTTCAGCCTTAACTCAAAAGTCCACAGTCCAATGTCTCATCTAAGACAAGGCAAGTCCCTTCCACCTGTATTAGGGTTCTCTAGAAGGACAGAACTAAAAGAATAGATGTATATCTATCCTGTTAATAAAGGGGTGTTCATTAAGGAGTATTAACTCACATGATCTCAAGGTCCCACAATAAGCCATCTGCAAGCTGAGGAGCAAGGAAGCCAGGCTGAGTCCCAAAGCTGAAGAACTTGGAGTCCGATGTTCAAGGGCAGAAGCATCCAGCATGGGTGAAAGATGTAGGCTGGGAGGGGAAGCCAGTCTGATCTCTTCATTTTCTTCTGCCTGCTTTTATTCTGGTCACACTGGCAGCTGACTAGATTATGCCCACCCAAATTAAGGGTGGGTCTGCTTTTCCCAGCCCACTGACTCAAATGTTAATCTCCTTTGGCAACACCCTCACAGACACACCCAGGATCAATACTTTTCATCCTTCAATCCAATCAAGGTGAACACTCAGTATTAACAATCACACTGCCTATGAGCCTGCAAAATCTAAAGCAAGCTAGTTATTTCCTAGATACATTAAGGGTACAGGTATTGGCTAAATACAGTCATTCCAAATGGAAGAATCTGACCAAAACAAAGGGGTTACAGGCCCCATGCAAGTCCAAAATCCAATGGGGCAGTCAAATCTTAATGTTCCAAAATGATCTCCTTTGAAGGTCTGTCTGGCATTGGGGTCACATTGATGCAAAATGTAGGTTCCTATGGTCTTGAGCAGCTCTGCCTCTGTGGCTTCGCAGGGTATAGCCTCCCTCTTGGCTGCTTTCATGCATTGGTATTAAGTGTCTGTGGCTTTTCCAGGGGCATGGTGCAAGCTGTTGGCACACCTACCATTCTGGGGTCTAGAGGATGGTGGCCCTCTTCTCACAGCTCCACTAGACAGTGCCCCAGTGGTGGCTCGGTGTGGGTGTTCCCACCCCACATTTCCCTTTAGCACTGCCCTAGCAGAGGTTCTCCATGAGTGCCTTTCCCCTGCAGTAAACTTTTGCCTGGACATCCAGTGTTTCCATACATCCTCTGAAACCTATGTGGAAGTTTCCAAACCCCAATTCTTGACTTCTGTGTACTAGCAGGCTCAACACCATGTGGAAGCTGCCAAGACCTGGGGCTTGCACCCTTTGAATCCATGGCCTGAGCTGGACCTTGGCCCCTTTTAGTCACTGCTGGAGCAGCTGGGACGCAGGACACCAAGTCTCTAGACTGCCCACAGCAGAGGAATCCTGGGCCGGGCCCACAAAACCATGTTTTCCTCCTAAGTCTCTGGGCCTGTGATAGAAGGGGCTGACACAAAGGTCTCTGACATGCCCTGGTGACATTTTCCCCATTATCTTGGTGATTAACATTCAACGCCTTGTTACCTATGCAAATATCTGCAGCTGGTTTGAATTTCTCCTCAGAAAATGAGATTTTCTTTCCTATCCCATTGTCAGGCTGCAAATTTTTCGAACTTCTATGCTCTGTTTCCCTTTTAAAACTGAACGCCTTTAACAGCACCCAAGTCACTTCTTGAATGCTTTGCTGCTTAGAAATTTCTTCTGCCAGATACCCTAAATCATCTCTCTCAAGTTCAAAGTTCTGCATATCTCTAGGGCAGGGGCGAAATGCTGCCAGTCTCTTTGCTATTATATCCGAGTCACCTTTGCTCCAGTTCACAAGTTCCTCATTTCTATCTGAAATAATCTCAGCCTGGACTTTACTTTCCATATCATTATTCAGCATTTTGGGCAAAGCCATTCAACAAGTCTCTAGGAAGTTCCAAACTTTCCCACATCTTCCTGTCTTCTTCTGAGCCCTCCAGACTGTTTCAAACTCTGCCTGTTACCCAGTTCCAAAGTTGCCTCCACATTTTTGAGTATCTTTTTAGCAGCACTCCACTCTACTGCTACTAATTTACTGTTCTCACTGCTGATAAAGTTATCCCCAAGACTGGGCAATTTACAAAAGAAAGAGGTTTAATAAAGTTACAGTTCCATGTGGCTGGGAAGGCCTCATAATCAAGGTGGAAGGCAAGGAGGAACAAGTCACATCTTACACGGATTGCAGCAGGCAAAAAAGAGCCTGTTCAGGGGAACTCGTCTGTATAAAACCATCAGATCTTGTGAGACTTATTGACTATCATGAGAACAGCATGAGAAATACCTGCTCCCATGATTCAATTACCCCTGACTGGGTCCCTTCCATGACACATGGAAAATGTGGGAGTTACAATGCAAGATCAGATTTGGGTGGGGACACAGCCAAACCATATCAGTATGTGTTTTTGAATCAGAAAAAATGAGACCTTTTCATGACTATGCTTACAAGTACTTGAATGTTTTATTCTCTTGTTTTTCTTATATTTTTTAAAAAAGAGCTATTAACACTTACATGCTACAGCTGTGTGGTGGACCAATTTAAGGTGGTCCTTATGATCTCCACCACCTGGTTTTCCTGTCCTTTTATTACCCCTTCCTTTTCAGCATGGAAGGAACCCGTGATATATTACTAACTAAAAGAGTATGGAAAAAGTAATGGTACATGACTTTCATGACTACATGACATTTTATAATTCTCCATCCTTATAGCAGACTTGTTGTCTTTATTGGCTTGATAAAGAAAACCATCATATTATGGGAGGCAACCACAACAAAGGACTGTGACTTAACTCCCGGATCTAAGGGCCTCAGTCTTACAACTGTGAGGATCACAAACAACCGTGTGAGTTTAAAAAATAATCAGCTGTCTCATATGAAACTGCGGTCCCTGCTGGCACTTTGATTGCAGACTTGTGAAAACCTGAAGCAGAAGACCCAGTTAAGCAGTGCTCTGACTCAAAACCCACAGAAACTGTGAGATAATAGATTTATTTTTAAGCTGTTAATTTTGTGGTAATTATTATGCAGCAATATAAAACTAACATATATTTTGATGCCTGGAAATGGGTGCTTTTTAAACAAATACTTAAGTAATTTTGGGAAGAATGATAGAGAAAGCCCATATTACCTTGAACAAGTGGCTGGTGAAAATCTGGACCTAGAGGATACTGCTGTTGAGCGCTCTGAAGTTATGGATGAACATATTTTAAAAACTAGAGAAAAGGACGTCCTTGTTAAATAGTAGCACAAAACTTAGCAAAATTGTCCCCTGAAGTTATGTGAAAAGCAGAACTTGTAAGTGTTGAACTTGTTATACAGCTAAAGAAACTCCTAAGCAAAACGTGCAAGTGCCATCCTGATTGCTT